>NC_000011.10:32332727-32484242 GCF_000001405.40 Homo sapiens
TTTACATTTATACGTCTGACAAAGGTCTTTTTTAAAAGCCTTTCATGTCCTTTATCCTTTAAACTTTTATAATATAGGTTGAAAGCACGATATCATCTTTAACTTCCTGTTCATGTATTGGGAGATCTTTTTCTTAGAATTAATGAAGACTTCCGCCCTGCTGGAATGTAGTTTACCTCCCTTGTGCCAGAATTTGAATTAAGAATGCCGTGTACCTCTAATTGCAACTATGTAAAAATAAGTGCGCACGAGGATTAGGAAGGTGGGAGTATAGGAAGGGGCGGAAGTTGTTTTTCAATATTCTTTTTTCTTATGAAAACTGGGAAGAAAAGAATACATTGTGCACAACTGCGCAGTCTCCTTGTCCTCGATGTTAATAAACGTGTTTTTAACTGCGGTTTACATCCCATTTCTAACATCACTACAACCTACATCCTCTCCAGGCTACAATTGAAGTTGAAAAGTGCACGAGGTCTTTACAAAGCCTCGTACAGTGAATGCGTCTGCGCACGTACAGTCCTCGTGCACCCTTTTTCTCTCTCTGGACAGAATTTCTTGGGGATCCTTCGCCCCCCACCCCCACCCCCGGCCGTATTTCTCCCTAGGCTCTTATTAAAACCAGGTGCACGGAAGGCGGCCCATTCTGGACAGAAAAGCTTTCGTTTGACCCAAAGCTCCCCCTTCCGGCGTGTTTTCTAGAGGGAATTCGTGAGCTGAGCCGAGGAGCGAGCAGGCGGCTTCTCCTGACCGGGGAGACGCGGGAGGTTTGCAAACAGACCTTGGCCTGGGCTGCGCAGGGACAAAGTGTTCAAGGGCAGCAGGGGAGGCTGAGGGAGTACACGGCTGGGAACAAGGGACACTGCCGCCCCCAGCCACGCAGGAGCGGTGTCTGCACCACTGAAAGTCCCCCGGGGCCCACAGCTCTATCCAGGCGGAAGGGAAGCAGCCAGGCCGCCGCGGATCTGAACTTGAATCCCGGGTGGACCGGACGCCCCGGCCGGCGCTCCTGACGCGCGGAGGAGCTGGCGAGAACCTGCAGATCTCAGGGCTCGCCCGCGGTCCGGCGCTCGGTTCAGGACGTCCGGGAACCCCGCAGCGCTTACCCTCTGCAGCAGGCGTCGCTGGCGCCTCCAAGGGCAGGGGCGGGTCCGGCGGGTACAAGTCGCGATTGACGCGACGGCCCAGGCAGGCACTGTGGGCTTCACCGCCCGCAACTTTTGACCCTAGAGGCCCTGCGCTGCAGCCTGTGGCCCGGAGGGACAGAAGTGGGAGCGTGTTTGGGCCACTCTGCAGCGAAAACGACCTTCCCTCATGGAACTTTCAGTAACTAACTCCTGAGAGCTGCGAGAGCTTCACACCGCCAGGCCCCAACCCGACTCTCTAGGCTGAGGGCATTGACTACCTGTTAGGGTCAAACATTCGAGTATTTGCGTCTTAATTTGACTCTAGAGTTATTCAAAGTAGAGCGACAGGCCTCAGAGGGAGGAGGGGCGTTGTTAGAACACAAAAAGGACACAGAGAGGAACAGGGACCTCAAAAAATGGGCTTCCAAATTGTAAGTGGCCATTTCCTATTCCTGAGGCCTGTTTTTCAAGCCGGCCTGTTTGTTCAGTTTCCCTGATTACCGCTTTTCAAAGCCCATTACCAAGCTCTATACAGCCTTCCAGCGTGACAGCCCTTGCTTTCTGAAGGGATTGCTGAATTTTAAGTACTCCTAGCAAAGAGACAGCTGCCCGAACAACGTTAGAAAACCTTACCATCCCAAACGTTTGCTTGACACTGGCTCCATAAAAGCCGCTTGGAAGTCGGTCAGCCAAGGGTTGTGCCCTGTTTGATGTTAAAAACTCTTCTCAGCCTTAAGCCTAAAATCCTGTGACAGGTAACAAGGGAATTCCAGATAAGTTTCCAGATTCAAGCAACTCTGGTGATTTCTGACAAAACAGTCAAAACAGTCTAAGTTTCTCAAATTGTGATCCATGGACCACTGACATCAGATTCCTTTTTCTCGGCCCCTCTGCCAGCGGGGGCACCCCCTCTACTCGGCCGGCCTGCCAGGCTCAACCCCTTGCAGGAGGGAGCACGTGAACAAGTGAGGGCAGAACCCAGCTAGCTGCTCCAGGCACAAAACAGGAGCAAGTTCTGTGCGGGGTCCTGGCCCGGAAGCCCCAGAGAGGGTGTTACAGTGCTCCTTCAGTTCCTCCATTGGCGGTTATATGGAGGGCGGTGCGTTAGCAGCTCAGCCTCTTGCCTCATGGTGGCTTGGGGCAGCTGCCCTCTACTGGCAAGGGCCAGTGTGACAGCCTTTTCTGGGTACCCACACGTGGTGAGTCCCAAGCTCTTGTCCAGGTCCAAGAAGAATGAGGTCACATGGACTGTTGAAGGATGGTGAAGGTGGAGAATTTTACTGAGCCATGAAAATGGCTTTCAGCAAAGAGGAGATGCAGGGTTGGTCCTCCTACCCAAAGGCGGGAAAGTTCCCCCGTGTGGCTGGGTCTGGGGCCTTTATGGACTCAAAATGGGGAGTGTGTGCTGATTGGTGTGTGAGTAGGCTAAAAAGGTTAAAGCAAAGACACCACTCAAAGGTGGGTATGACAGTGTAGAAAACCAATTAGGAAAGGGTAGGTACTTGTAAAATAAGTGAAGGGTGGGGACCAATCAGGGGAAAGCACACCAAACAGGAAGACAAGTTCTCAATCAGCTGGGAGGATTTAACTTGTAGCTTGGCTTTTCAGCTTTAAATTGTCTTCAGTTTGGAGGCGGGGTTTCACCGGGTACCCACCCCTATCTATCTAGGTGTTTGGCTGCTTCCTATCACTATCAGAATGAGCTGCGCAGGGTGGCTCAGGCATGTAATCCCAGAATTTTGGGATGCTAAAGCAGGAGGATTGCTTGAAGCCAGGAGTTTGAGACCAGCCTCGGCAGCACAGTGAGACCCTGTCTCTACAGAAAAATTAAAAAATTAGCTGGGCATGGTGGTACATGCCTGTGGTCCTAGCTACTTGGGTAGCTGAGGTTGGAGGATCGATTGAGCCCAGGAGGTCGAGGCTGCAGTGAGCCATGATCATGCCACTGCATTCCAGCCTGGGCAACAGAGCAAGACCCCCTAAGAAAAAAAAAAAAAAAAAAAAGCAATGAAGTCCAGAAACCAGAAACCTGCTTTGTAACAAGCTTGCCTTATGAGGTTTCTGCTCACTAGTTTAAGAATTACTAGACTCTGTCTTTTATCTGACTTTGCTGAAATGGTACTTGTTTTCTGGAGCCCTCACTCAAAAATCTCAGCAGTGTAAAACACTCTTTTTATCAAAAAAAAAAAAGCACACTTAAGTTTTGCTTCCAAATGAATGTGACTTATTTCAGAGGAGTCATGAGTACTTTTAATGAAATTCTGCCTAAAGCAATACTTCCCACTGTATAGAGCTCTAAGCACATCCTAGTGCTAAGTAGGTAGATTATGCCATGTGCTTTCTACTAATCTTGGGCTGTTTGTCATTCTAAGCCAGACACCCCTTGCCCTGCCCATTTTTCTTCTACTGCTTCACTCTGGCCTCTATCGGCACAGCATTCCTTAGGTAAATGGCAACTGAGTCTACGACCACGGTGGCTTCCAAACTGAACTGTACAACAGCAGAAATGTGTGGAGCTTTTAAAACTGGTTTCCAGACCCGTGAAGAATTGTAGCATTCCCAAACATACATATTTGCAGAGACTTCATCTCACAAAGCATGGGATTAAAAGCCACCAAAAGTAGTACTGTCAAAAGTAGCACTGAATTGAATTTGAGGAAATAACAGCATAAACAGAGTTTTTGCAACAAAAATGTTCAACACACTGTTGCTTATAATATAAAGAGTTTGGAAAGAACCAAAATTTGTCCCACAGTAGAAAGTTAGTTAAATAAATCATGATACATACATATGAAGGGATACAAGACAACTATGTACAATTATCTTTCAGAGAATATTTATTGACATGAAAAGATGTTCTTTGTGAGTAAATTGAAAACTGTGACATGAACAATTGTTTCCTTTTTTTTTTTTTTTTTTTTTTTTTTTTTGAGACTGAGTCTCACTCAGTCGCCCAGGCTGGAGTGCAGTGGCGTGATCTCAGCTCTGCCTCCTGGGTTCATGCCATTCTCCTGCCTCAGCCTCCCGAGTAGCTGGGACTACAGGTGCCCGCCACTATGCCCGGCTAATTTTTTTGTATTTTTAGTAGAGACAGGGTTTCACTGTGTTAGGCAGGATGGTCTCGATCTCCTGACCTGGTGATCTGCCCATCTCGGCCTCCCAAAGTGCTGAGATTACAGGCGTGAGCCACCGCGCATGGCCCTA
This sequence comes from Homo sapiens, assembly GCF_000001405.40. Taxonomy (NCBI): domain Eukaryota; kingdom Metazoa; phylum Chordata; class Mammalia; order Primates; family Hominidae; genus Homo; species Homo sapiens. The sequence continues at coordinate 32,337,056 of NC_000011.10, forward strand.
TTATTATTATTATTATTTTTTAAAGGCTAGTGGTAACTGATAGAAGAGCCAAGGAAGCAGAATCCTAAACCGATGATGGTGAACACTGAGAAGAATCCCAATTTGCCCTGCAGAACTGGGAAACAGAGGAGAAAACAGAGCTTTGGTTGGAAGTCTATTGAAGAAATATTTAGATAACATCTCCAAGTTGTTGCAGCTGGGTGACGGCCCCCTACCCAGCAAAACACTGAAGGTTTAATCACTGGAGAGGGTAATGTATTTAAACAAGAGGATTAAGTGAAAATTTTCATACAGCCCCAGCCGTCTTCCCCAGTAGGCTGGAAGCCTGACACAGACCCTCCAGAGAGGAGATTGCAAGATTCTTCTCTGGTGAAACCGAGCAGCCAAAGAAAAAAGACAAAGGATACCGACATGAGGGGCTCCTGATCATTTCCGATAAGGTCACCCTGTGCAGAAGCCCACAGTTAACAAATCCCATCCACACACACAGTTTCCAATCAGCTAGGGATTTTTTTTTTTTTAAGACATGGTGTCACCCAGGCTGCAGTGTAGTGGTGCAATCACGGCTCACTGCAGCCTCGACCTCCAGGGCTCAAGCAATCCTCCCACCTTCGCCTCCCAAAGTGTTGGGATTACAGGTGTGAGCCACCATGTGTGGCCCAATCAGCTGTTTTCTGCCTCACCTGGCAGACAGTCAAGAACTTCCAGATGTTAGGAGAAAGATTTTAATATTAAAGATACAGGTAAGAGTAAACAGAAGACAGCAACTTGAAAGAAACCAAGCCTATAAAGGAAAAAGAAAAACAATGTTTTTGTTTTTTCATTAAAATTATTAGAAACAACAAAGATGTGCATACTTGAAACAAGAACAGGCTGTTGTTTTGGTTTGGTTTCATTTGGGCTTTTGAAAAAGGAAATTAGAACAGGGCAGAGCTCTTGAACATTAGGTATATGACAAAAAGACTAATGGATAAAAAATATAGGTAAAAATATATAAAAATAAAGGGCAGATCAGACCAACTAAATGATAGAAGTTCCAGAAAGAGAGGTCAGAAAAAATAGAAGTGAGGCTATCATTAGAGTAATAATTTGGTTTTGTTTTTTTTTTTTTTTTGAGATGAAGTTTCACTGTCACCCAGGCTGGAGTGCAGTGGCACAATCTCGGCTCACTGAAACCTTCGCCTCCCAGGTTTAAGCAATTCTCCTGCCTCAGCCTCCCGAGAAGCTGGGATTACAGGCGTCCGCCACCAAGCCTGGCTAATTTTTGCATTTTTGGTAGAGACAGGGTTTTGCCATGTTGGCCAGGCTGGTCTTAAACTTCTGGCCTCAAATGATCTACCCACCTAGGCCTCCCAAAGCACTGGGATTACAGGGGTGAGCCACCGTGCCCAGCCAATTAGATTAAAATTAGCTAATTGGCCAGCAAGGTGGCTCACTCTTGTAATCCTAGCACTTTTGGAGGCCAAGGCGGGCGAATCATGAGGTCAGGAGTTCGAGATCAGCCTGACCAATATGGTGAAACCCCCATCTCTACTAAAAATACAAAAATTAGCCAGGTGTGGTGGCGCACGCCTGTAATCCCAGCTACTCAGGAGGCTGAGACAGGAGAATAACTTGAACTGAGGAGGCGGAGGTTGCAGTGAGCTGAGATCATGCTACTGCACTCCAACCTGGGCAACAGAGCAAGACTCCATCTCAAAAAAAAAATTAGCTAATTAATCAAAAGGATTGGCTGGGCGCGGTGGCTCACGCCTGTAATCCCAGCACTTTGGGAGGCCGAGGCGGGCGGATCACGAGGTCAGGAGATCGAGACCATCCCGGCTAAAACGGTGAAACCCCGTCTCTACTAAAAATACAAAAAATTAGCCGGGCATAGTGGGGGGCGCCTGTAGTCCCAGCTACTTGGGAGGCTGAGGCAGGAGAATGGCGTGAACCCGGGAGGCGGAGCTTGCAGTGAGCCGAGATCCCGCCACTGCACTCCAGCCTGGGCGACAGAGCGAGACTCCGTCTCAAAAAAAAAAAAAAAAAAAAAAAAAAAATCAAAAGGATTTTCCCAATTTCAAGGACGTGAGTCTCCTGATTGAAAAGGCCTGTTGAGGCAGGGTGCGATGGCTCATGCCTGTAATCCCAGGACTTTGGGAGGCCGAAGCAGTCAGATCACAAGGTCAGGAGTTCGAGACCAGCCTGGCCAATATGGTGAAACCCCATATCTACTAAAAATACAAAAATTAGCCCGGCGTGGTGGCTGGCACCTGTAGTCCCAGCTACTCGGGAGGATGAGGCAGAAGAATCACTTGAACCCATGAGGCAGAGGTTGCAGTGAGCCGAGATCGCGCCACTGCACTCCAGCCTGGCAACAGAGTGAGACTCCATCTCAAAAAACAAAAACAAAAACAAAACAAAACAAAACAAAAAGACCTGTTGAGTACCCAGAACAAGGTTGAGTTGTTGGAATGATCAGAACCTACACAAAGGAACATCATTCTGAAATTTCATCATTCTGAAGATTTTTAACTACTTCTAAAGACAAATAATAAGTTACCTAGAAAAAAAATCAAGAATCAGAACAGACTTCTCAACAGCAGCAGTAGAAGTTGGAAAACAATAAAGCTAATATTTAGGGTAGTCTTGAACTATATGCCATGCACTATTTTAAGTGCTTTACAATTCATCCTCACAGCAACCCTATGACAGAGCTACTACCATTATCTCCATTTTACAGAAGATAAATCTGAGGTAGAAAGGAGCCAAGTAACTTTTCCAATATGACACGTGTAATAACAGTAGAGCTGAGATTTGGACCAGGTAGTCTAGCTCCAGTGTCCATGATAATTGGTACATCAAAAAGGTACAGTGACTTCAAAATTCAAAGGGAAAAATACATTCCACCTGGAATTATGTATGCAGCCAAGTTATCATTAAAGAGAAGATAAATATATTTTTAGAAATGAATGCTCTAAAATGTGTGTGTGTGTGTGTGTGTGTGTATCTCATACACTTTTCTTTAAAAGCTACCAGAGAACGGTGATTCCAAATTGAGCAGGTCAGAAGGTTCCGAGAGCCATGTGTCCAAAAAGATGAAATTGATAGAAAACATAATGGGTATTGGCCATATTGAGAAGACATGAGACCAGCTGGGAGTAAATTTGAGGTTAAATTAATAATTACATTAAAATCTCAGCAAGTAAGCAAAATATAAGATTATTCCTGGGAAAACTTAAGTTGTGATAGAAAGAAAAAGTAATCCTAGTACTCTTTGATACTACATGACTCAGCAGTGAATTGTATATATCTAGTCATAGTAACAAGAATATTAAATATTAAACCAAATTCATGATAAAACAACATCAAGAAGATAGTGTATGAGCAGCGTGTTATTGCTGGAGGCGGGGGAGGGTGTGGAGGAGTGGGCAGGCAAGGATGAAAGCCAAATTCTTAAATTCTTATATTCCTTAATGGAAATTAATAGATAAAACCTACAAGAGAAAAAATCAGGAAGTGAATACGACATATGTGTTAACTATCAAAATAAATAGCTAAAAAATTTAAAGGCATTTGCCTTCAAGAAGCAGGAAGTTGAGAAGGTGGATGTTTCTGAAACTGCTACTTTTTCTGATAAATCTTGTAGAACTATTTGACTCTTTAGACCATGTGGATGTGTAAGTTTGGTAAAAATCAAAACTAATGCTTAAAAAAAAATGAACAACACAATTCTAAAGTTCCTCCTAGTAGTCCAGAAAAATCTGCTTCAACCTTCTTGTTTTCTCAAATCAAACTTACTTTATTTTTCAAGCACTAGTTTTCTGCATGACACCTCTATTATTCTTTGACATTGTACAGACACTTCGTAAAATAGGCTTTTGTGAGCTAGTCTGGGCACTAAACCATTGCTTACCTTGCTTCCGTGGAGAAATGTATTTCAAGTTCTAACCAAACAAATTCCAAAAATAAATTTTCAGAATGCCTCCTGTTTATTAATTAAGGACCCTATTATCCATTCCCATAGGACTTTCCAGCTGAAAAGACATCTAAAAAATAAGAGAATATTGCGATTGCATCCAACATTGTACTGTTCACTACAGTCAGTGAGTGATATAGCTATTGGAAAAAGGAAGGGTCAACAAGGAAGACTTCATCAAAGGACTCAGTTTAAGCTGAACCTGGAAAGATGGATTGTAACTTGTATCAATGGTGGTATCAGTCAGCAGACTCTTCCATGCAAGTGACAGATACTCAACTCACAGTAGCTAAGCCAGAAACAGAATTTATTGGCTCACCTAACTAGGACATCACTAAGGACTTTCTTCAGGCAGATTGAACCTGGGCCCAAAAGTGTTGCTAAGTTCTATCCATCTCCATTGTTCTCCTCTATGGCCCTGGTCTTTTCTCCCAGTTTTACAGCATGGGGTAGATGGATAACTACATGACTATGTACTAAAAATCCCAGGGAAGACCCTAATTGGTCCTTCATGGGTTCAGGTGGATGGGTGCTGTGATTGGCCAGGCCTGAGTCAACTGCCAGGAAAGAGAAGATGGGGGATAAACTGCTGGGCTGCCAAAAATAATACCTATTACATCCCACTGTAATTGTACGTACCAAATATGCTCTAGTGAAGATTTATTATAGCCTGGGCCAATTGACATTGTAAGTAAAAATGCCTCATAAATGCTAAAGCACCATGAAATGTTGGTTGTGAGTCAGTACTGAAATGTAAGTCTGCATTGGCCCTGCCTAGCCAAACTGCAATTACTCCTGGATCCCTCGCTCTCCGAATGGTTTAAGTTTTTCTTTCCTCCAAGCAGATTCATTTGTTACAGTTTCCCCCCAACTGGCCTCTGTCTTCTAACAGAGTCTGCTTCCAAATGCAGCGAAAAATTTGCTCATGTCATTTTTCAAAGGAAGTCAGAAGAAAAAAAAAAAGTCCAAAGTTGGATAGTTCAAAACTGAAAACATAATTGATAAATGCGTGTGTGTAATCAGATTGTTCTCAGCATCCTTCATTCTACTGTTCCTCTAATCTATTGAGTCACTTTCTTGGCCTCATTGCTCCAATCTTCAAATAAGCCAAAGTATGTTGCTGATACTAGCCGGAATTTATTGAGTGATAGGATATTTGTAATGTACTTTGAGACTGAACTTAGAGCCCTGAAGATTAGGCAATTAATTCGTAGGGAAATATTTTTGCCATTTAGAAAAAAAAAAAAAACTTCGGACTAATTGAAAGTCTATATTGGAATGTCCCATTTTTATAAGGCTATTTTAGACCTCTGGTTTTTAATTAGGTGTGAGGTGTTCATTTAGTGCTGACAATGTGAAGTAGGCTGATGCCTAAATTTGCTTCTGATAAACCTCTCATTGATGTCAGCACTTGAATACTTAACTGCTACATTGAACATCGTATTCAAAGATAGTGTGGGTGAAAGCTAACTGCTTATGAGCCTGATTTTTGCTAAGAGACCTTACGTCACATCCTGGTAGCATTCTCTAAATTGACACTAAAAAAAAAAAAAAAAACCTTAGGACATGGCCTCCAGTTCTTTAGCACAGAATTACCAAAACATGACATTATTGAATGACTACCCAAGGCCTTTCTCAGTTCACTTTTTCCTTGTCATCTTCCCACTACAGATACTGAAAAACTCCAGGCATTCACTTTCCCAGCCTCCTCTATAGCTAGCAAGGGCCATATGATCCAGTTCAGGCCAATGGATGGAGGAGAGAGATGGCTGGAGGATTTCTGAGAAAAATTATCCCACCCCATTAGAGTCCAGATGCATGGGAAGAGAGCCCTTTTGTTTCCTCCTGCCTCCTCTCTGTTTGGGTCACATTTGAGAATGTAATGCCTGGAGCTCTAGCAGCCATTTGTGACCATTGCTGAAACACTGAGTCTGACAAAGCAGAAAGAGTCCAGGTCATTGGGAACATTATTGAGCCACTACACTAAATGGAATGGCCTGCCTTCGTATTTCATGTTAAGTGAGATGAATAAAGTCCTGCGTTTCAGCCATTGGGCATTCTATCACTTTTGACCAAAGATATGTTTTATTTTTAAGTAACACAAAGATACAAAGTATTTCCCAGTAACCATTCTATGTTCTCTCCTTCTTAACTGTCCAGATTTTTATTTGGATAGTCATTCTCCTGATATACCTTATGTAGCTGATGGAATTCCACCCCCATTTCCACGGATGATCACTAGTTGGATTAAGTCAGTCAATAAATTCTACTCACCTGGCCTTGAATGGGGATTGATTCAAGGGTTAGCTGCCACTTAAGTTGTCCAACCGGAGTAAATCTTTGGATTCTTGCCTGGAATGCGGGAAAAGAAATGCTCTCACCTTTTTGACTACACAAATGTGAAGCCTGGAACTGCTGCAGCCATCTTGCCACCCTGAAGCAAGTCAGCCTTTGGATGAAGCTGACACCATAGAAGGGCAAACAGAAGAACAGAAAGAAGCTAAGTTCATGATAATGTCATCAAGGTACTAGATCACCCTAGTTTTGGACATGCAGTTATATGAGCTCATAAATCTCCTTTATGAAAGTCAATTTGAGTTGAATTTCTTTGAACTGTTCTTTGCAACTTCAAAAGGCATTCTGATTTGATATACTTCCTATCTGGACTGTTAGGCAACAGGCAAAGAGGAAAACCAAATAGGAATCTTTTAAGAACCAAAAATAAAAATACCCCTCCATAGCTCAACCATATTAGGTAGGTCTGTGGTTAGCCACTGTTTCCTTCACTCATCAAAGCTGGAGAGAAAAAAAAAATGATGTGTCAAACTATTACATGTAATGTGCCTCATCCTTACTCACTTGGACTTGGGGCAAGAAACTTAACCTGTCTGAGCCTTGGTTTGTGTACCTGTGAAATGGAGATAATAATAGCACCTGTGTCATAGGACGGCTCTGAAGTTAAAGGAGATAATGCATGTAAAGTGTTTCTAACTGGGCCTTTGATAATTTATACTCCATCAATGCTGGTTATTCTGATTATCAGGAATCCCCAGTCAACTAGGGATTGAGTCAGACAGGTCCAGTGTCCCCTGCCAAATCTTCCAAATGGTCTTTGGACTGGGTATCCTCTTGTTATTGAAGAGCTCACTCTTCTTTTCATCAAAAGTGAGCAAAATAAGGCCGGGCATGGTGGCTCATGCCTGTAATCCAAGCACTTTGGGAGGCGGAGGCGGGCAGATCACCAGGTCAGGCGATCGAGACCATCCTGGCTAACACGGTGAAACCCCTCTCTACTAAAAAAAAAAAAAAAAATACAAAAAATCAGCCAGGCATGGTGGCGGGTGCCTGTAGTCCCAGCTACTTGGGAGGCTGAGGCAGGAGAATGGCATGAACCCAGGAGGCAGAGCTTGCAGTGAGCTGAGATCACAGCACTGCACTCCAGCCTGGGCGACAGAATGAGACTCCGTGCCCCCCACCCCAAAAAAGAAAAAAAGTAAAGAAAAAGGGAGCAAAATAAGATCCTTCCAGATTTCCACGAAGGATCTACCACTCCTTGAGTCACACACAGATCTCTTCCCAGCTCAGTCCTGCCTTTTGGGAGGGCCTGGAGTACTTACAATGTGACTGATTCTCACCCTCTTTGAAGGGGAGCAAAAGACACCCTCCCAATCCCCTCACCCCAGAAATCCAGAACTGACCCTGTTCTTGACAGCACACCAGCCCCACAGCCCAGCAAGAGAAGACAGCCTACCCTGGGGGGTGTTTTATCTTGGGCCATTGCCCACTTCACCCCTTCATCCCCCAGGAAAGAACAGGATGGATTGGTAAGCCCAGAGGGAGAGGGAGAAACCAGGAGACGGAGAAGCAGCCTCTGTAAACAGGGTTCATGGAACGGCTGCATTGGTGATTTCATCCTTGCTTAAGGATGCCATAAAAAAGAGAAATATTCAGTGATCACTAGTTCATATCGCTGTAAAAGACAGAAACAGGGCCCAGCAGGCTTGGGTTCCAGCAACATTCTGATTTGACAGGACCTTAAAACGTCTCCTGGAGTTAAGTCAGGGAGAAAAATTCTTAAGGTAACTGAGTGCAGCAAATAACTAAGTAGGAAGAATTTATTCTAATTGCCAAAAGGAATATGTCCAAGGCTCCAAAGGAAGGGGGGGGAAGTGAAAAAGAAAGCAGAAACATTATGATAAGAAGAGAAGGGATGTTCATTTTCAAGCCGGAGGTAAGATATGGATTTAAGTTCATCCTCAGAATAGTGTAGCAAGAAACTTTATAGCCAAACTGACTCCCAACCGGAAAAGTCCCTGTTTCTCGGATCTCTTTGAATTATAGGGAAAACTAATTGGATCTTCATGTTTACCATGGAGGAAACCAAGTGTTACTCAGGATGTAAATCCTAGAGGTACTTTAAAAGGACAACGTTGACCTTTACAAGCCTCTCAACTTATAGATCTGTAAGGAGAAAAAAATTGATTTCCTGACCTTTTGACTGCTTGCTTGTCATTTTTTTTTTCCTCCACACAAGAGCCCCCAATCCCATCACTCTCTTCCTGATGTGAGTTTTCTGACTGTGCCCTCTGTCCCTGGTCAGACTCAGGAGCAGGGAATCAGCCCATTCTCCAGTCCAGCCTTGGAAGAGGCTGGTCTGGGCTGTGGAACGGCTCCACCAACAAGGACCCTGGGTGAAGTCACAACCTCTCAGAGCCCTCCACTGTCTTAGAGACTGGCTCGCCCCTCCAGCAGCTTCATGATGGTGAAACCAGCTGGCTCGTCTGGGCGCCTACTATGTGCTGGGTATTGTGTTGAGACATTTCCCAGACATTATCTTAATTAACTCTTCCTCATAACAGCCCTGTGAATCTGGGACACTAACCCACTGCACACATCTCTCTCATTTCACAAATGGGAAAACTCCCATTTCCCTGGCCATTTCCTTTCCCCTTCCACCTGCCTTCTTCAGGCCACCTTCCCTGTGGGCAGAGAGATGAGATCAAGGGGGGACAGAATGATTTGAACTTGGAGTCCAAGGGCGAATGTGACAGTTATTGCAAAGATGAGGAAATGGGACCCTAGAGAAGGATTTGTCACTCACACCAGGACCATTGGGTTCCCAGATGGCAGGCCCAGGGACCCCCACACCAGCATGGCTCCCCTGCCACACACAGCGTTATTTCTCCCACCCAAGCCTGGTCACAGGGGCCACAGTGAGTCACCAACCTTCTCTGGGAGTTACCTGGCATCTTTAGTGTCAGAATCCATGGGGAGAAGAGAAGGGAACTTGGAGGTCATTTGGGGAATGGAAGGGCTATGGATGGGGTGCTTCTCACGGTCACACCATGAGAAGCCAGACAGTGGTAGTGGTAGAATTGTGGGGCATGGGATGGACGGCACTAAGTGACTGGTCATTATGAATTCATCCTGAATTCTTATGCAAAGGAGATCCTTCTCAAAGTAGGCAAGGGCCCAGGCAGTGTGATTTGAGACATGCCTACCTCAGGGCCTGAGAAATCATTGAACTCTTTGCCACTTAAATGGTTCACTGCCATGCCTCCTGCTTTTAGTCATTTGCTTGCCATTATCAAGGTGTTTGTCATAATTATGAACCAGCTGCACTATTATTTCCTTAACAGTTTAGATCAATTGTTAAAAACATAAATAGAGATATTTTAGAAGACACTTTGTATCAGTACTATACATTGAAAGCCAGTATAATTTACCATAAATAGAGGCACAATAATAAAAACAATGAAAAGAAAAAAATGTTATTAGACTCTGGCTGCTTTGCTGACTGTCAGAGGATATGAGCCTGAACTTTGTTAAAAAGAGAGATTACCAAGTGTTAAGTGTGAAAAACAGGGCCAAATGGAGATTACCTCTTTGACCCACACAAGGAGGATTGACAGAGAAGTTAAATGCTGTTGAACATCACCTAAATCATCTTGAGAACCACCAGTGGTTATCTCAGGCTTTGGGGAATTCTGGGGGCCCCTTTCATGTTTTCTCAAAAAACACCACCATTACACACGAAAAAGAACAATTCATTGGGGACTTATTATCCAGCTCTGTGAGCTGGGATGATTTACTTCTCTGGAACTCAGTTTCTCTCATCTGCAAAATGGGAGGGTTAGACGAGATAATGTCTTGAAGTCCCTTCCAGCTCTAGCACCTGCTTCCTCTAATACTAAGAAACAAATCACATCTAGGACATGAGGCAGCTCTGGAGTGATGGAGAAATCAAATAGCAACTTGAAATGGTAACGAAAATGATAGCAGCCCTGAACAGTGGAGAAGGGGTAGGGTGTGGAAGTGTTACAGATCAAAGTCCCGCTCTTCCCAGCCTCACTGAAGGCCACTGAAATAACATGTCCATCCCAGGGATATTCAAATGAAAAAAATATAAGATTCTGATCTCTTCATATCCAACACTCAGATTTCAGAGCTGAATTTTCTAATTTGCAGCGGGAAAATTAGACTTCATTTTCCTTTACAAAATCATTTCTACTTTCAGATATACAGCATCCTGAGTACACTGGTTTCTGCTTGATTAAGAGATGGGTCAGGGCAGTGGTTAGGAACTTGGGCTTTGGGGTCCGTCTGAATTTTAGGCCTTAATGCCATCATTTACCAAAGGTGTGCTTTGGGCAAGGAAGTCCCATCTTAAAAGGGAGTTTAATAACGGTATCCACACCTTACAGTTGTGATGAATCAATGAGAAAGTAAGTAAAGTGACAGTGTGTTTGCAAACACACTGTCTAGCAAACAGTAAATGCATAAAAAATGTTAGCTATTAGTAACTGGCTACCAGTATTTTCTGCACAAATGACTTTCCTTTTTTTTTTTTTTTTGTAATTGAAACAGGATCTTACTTTGTCACCCAGGCTGGAGTGCAGTGGTGTGATCATGTCTTACTACAGCCTTAAACTCCAAGGCTTAGTCGATCCTCCAACCTCAGCCTCTTAAGTAGCTGGGACTAGAGGTGCACACCACAACTCCCAGCTAATTTTTTTTTTTGTAGAGATGAGGTTTCACCATGCTTCCCAGGCTGGTCTCAAACTCCGGGGCTCAAGGGATCTGGCCGCCACTGCCTCCAGATGTGCTGGGATTACAGGTGAGCCACTGAGCCTGGCCCACAAGTGACTTTTCTACTTGCTGTCCCAATGCAGACTCTCTCTACTCTGGCCCTGCCCACTCACATCCGTTTTTCCTGTCTTGATGATCACCTTCCTCATGCTGTGGCTGGTACCCCTCTCTATGCCAGTCCCTATGTGCTTTGACAGATACAGTCAATACCCAATACATCTGTTGAATTGTGTAGAGGCCTCTGAAAATGGTGAAAGCAATCTTTAGCTGAAAACAGAAAAGATTTTACAGGGATATTTTTGCACTGCCTTCAGACTCACTGCTGAAAAACCTAACCCCAAAGTCTGTTATATATGGGAAATATTTGTGCAGCATATGCAATCTTTATAGGACTCAGTTGAAACAATTCCTAGTTTGCTAAATTAAGATGGGGAAAAGAACATAATCTTCCACTTCTGTTTCATTTCACCCCAGGATAAGGAAGAAGAGAGGATGCAAGCTTCCTAACTGTCCTGGTTTTCTTCTTGGATTCTTCTATGTGTGTTTACAAAACATACACAGTGGACTCCTTAGTAACACACACAAGATTAGCCTCTTCTGATATCTGAAAGATATATGAATTGCTGAACTGCTGATGAGAAAGATCCATGAAGAGTTTTTTAATTGGTTTAGTAAGATTACTTCCAGTCAACAATTCTCTAGTTTAGTGGTAGAAGATAGATCTGTTTTCCGTAAAAGTTAAATGCCAGACTTTTGAATCACTCCAAATGAAAATCATTCCCTTAAAGAGCCACTTGCTATCATTTGTTTTACAGCAAAATATAAAGGTTGAGATAGAAACTATTATCACAGAATGGCATGCTGAAGAGGCATGAGTGGTGATAAAAACACAAACAGCTCTTTTTTTTTTTTTTTTTTTTGAGACAGAGTTTTGCTCTTGTTGCCCAGGCTGGAGTGCAGTGCTGCAATCTCAGGTCACCGCAACCTCCGCCTCCCAGGTTCAAGTGATTCTCCTGCCTCAGCCTCCCAAGTAGCTGGGATTACAGGCATGCACCACCATGCCTGGCTAATTTTGTATTTTTAGTAGAGATTATAGGCATGAACCCTTATGACCATTTTGACCATGAGCTGACTGAGGTTCAGTGGGGGAGAAAAAGCTTCAGTGATGAGTAGGAAATGGGTCCAATTGGCCTCCAAACCTATAGCTCAGAGCTGCTTTCTTCATGTTGGAGGCAGAATGGAAAATTAGAAAGAATATCAAGTTTGGAAACAGGACCAGGCTTTCATCTTACAATGATTCACTGAGTTCCTATCATATGCTAGGTCTGTGCCAGGCCATGAGGGAAGAGCAGTAGGTTCCATGGCTCTGGTCCTGACCCTAGTGGAGTTCACAGATTAGCAAGTAGGGATGCCAGTTCAGGAGTCAAGTTAACCAGGGTTAGGCTATGGGTACTTCCTTTGTAATCCTGGGCAAGTTACTTAATTTCTGTAAGATTCAATATCTGCAAGTATGGTTGCAGTTATATATTCCCATTATCCTCATACTAGTATGACCTACAAAATTGGTGCGACAATGTAATCAGATTATCTATGTAAAGTACTAAATACAGTTCCTGATGTATGATAAACACTAAAGAAACAACTCATTTAACAATATGAACAATTAGTAATACAAAGCAATGATTTATATTAATATAATAATTAGAATTATAAATATTAACTAAGAACTAATGTCAACAATTAGTAATAATAAGTATTCCTATTATATTTATTATTAGCATCTAGTGGAGCATTGCACCCCTGAGTAGAGAACAATCTGCAGGATGTTGTCCAGCTGTTTGAAGCTTATTTCCTTATTAATAACTTGGCAATATTAATGGCTATCTCCAGAATTTTATGTAAGCTAGATAAGAAAATGTATGTAAAAGCATTTTTGATAGGGGCTTAATATTTTTATTCCATGAAAGTGGCACCACTCAGAGCCTTCGGTGAACCAAAGTATTACTTTGTTTTGCCTTAAACAGCAAGCCCTTCTAAATTACAACCCTGGGAAATAAAGATGACAGTAAATTATGCAGGCCATCCCCTGGCCTAGGGGACTTAGGGTTAGGGTTCAGGTAGTAAGTCCTAGAGTAAGTGGACATTTAGCCAGGCTGCAGATTGATGAGTGCTGAGAGGAGCTGGTTATTTGATCCCCAGGAAATGTTTCTAGGCTGGGGTCACTGTTGCCAGCCTTTGAATCAATAAGGCAGCACCTTTCAGACCAGAAAGTTCAGTTCAATTTATCAAGTCAAGAGAAGTGAGAGAAGCAACAAGCATGATGAAAGCAGGGCACTCGCTGAGTCTCCAGTCAGCTCCAGTGTAAGAGGGAGGGACCGAGGCAGACTGTCTCCAGTTTTCCAAGGGCTTCCAGAGTTGTTCAAGGCCTTCATTCCCCAGGTGCCCCCCATTCTTCAAGAGCTTCATCATTTTCTAACCTCTCCGGAGAAATGAGTGGCAGACAACAATTTATTCCATAAACCTTTATTGAACATAGACCAGGGCCAAGCACTATTCTAGCCACAGGGAATGATCACTCATGAATCTGTTCAAAAAATAAATTTTGAGCACTTACTCTGTGCCAGACCCTCTGATAAATGAAACAATGAGTGAAACACAGCCCTTCAGTGGTGTTCCTAGTCAAGTAGGGGAGAAAAATAAATCAGCACTTACAGAGTGATGAAAAGAATAAGGGAAGAGTCACAAGGTGCCATCAAAGAACTAAGGAGGGACAAGAGACCTAATCTAGGGTGACTTCTCAGAGGAGGTGATTCTTCAGCCGAAAATTAAGGTGATTCGTCAGCCATATGCAAAGGGAGGAGGAGACCACAAGCAGAGGGAGTAGCATCCTCAGAGGTCTAGGTATGAAACCCACGATATTTTTGCAAAATAAAAAGTAGCTCCATTTGGCCGGGCATGGTAGCTCATGCCTATAATCTCAGCATTTTGGGAGGCTGAGGCGGGCAGATCACCTGAGGTCAGGAATTTGAGACCAGCCTGGCCAATATGGTGAAACCCCATCTCTACTGAAAATACAAAACTTAGCCGGGTGTGGTGGTGGATGCCTATAATCCCAGCTACTCGGGAGGCTGAGGGAGGAGAATCGCTTTAACTCAAGAGGTGAAGATTGCAGTGAGCCAAGATCGTACCACAGCACTCCAGCCTGGGTGACAGAGCAAGACTCTGTCAAAAAAAAAAAAAAAAAAAAAAAAAAAGCTCCATTTGGCTATCATAAAAAAGTACACAGTGGGTACTGGCCAGAAACACAGCTACAAAGGTTGGCCGGAGCCATGTATCACCTACCTGCTCAACTACTCTGCGGTATTCCCAAAACACTCCCAAAGATACTGGCTAGTGGCTCAAGAAAAATGGCAAAGGAAGAACTGTTTGACATAGTAACAGCACCATGCCATATGTCCCACACCTTGGAGCTAAGAAACAACAGAGCTTCCTCCTGGATTCCTACTGTGGACAAGGCTGCTTCCCCAGTCTGAAGGCCAACTTAGCTAGTTTCAGTCCTCCAGAAAGTATCTGTGCCCAATAACCTAGAGGAGGCATACATTGTAAATAGCGACGTAAAAAAGAAACAATCATCCCAATTTGTTCATAACTTAAAACCAAAACACGCCCTTCCGCTCTCTCCCTACTCCCCTCTCTCCCTACTCTCTTCTCCAACATGTCGAATTGGTCTTCTAAATCAGAAATCCCCACAAGTGGGAGATCCCTAGAAGTGGTCTTGCCTCATATCAAGAAAAAGAATCAAATGCACATTTATGTTATGGCATCATATCCTTTGGGTGATTCCCCAATGTGTGTGTTATCTGGCATCCATGAATACCCCCCGGGTTCTCATCTAAAGTACTCCTTTGAGTTGTTTCCAGCAAACCATTACTGAGATTTTCGTACAAGGAGGCATTTGTCACTTGCTGGGTCTGGGGGTGGAGGAGTAGGATGCTTAGTAAGCCAAGCAAAAAGGGGCAGCCAGGGAGGGGCTACTGGACAGAGGCTTCTGGCTTCCCTTACAGAGTGAGAGCAATGGGGGAAAGAGGAAAGACAGATGAGCTGGCTTCAAGACTTGCCCTGGGCGGTACATATGGGTTTCTGTCTCTGTGCTTCACTGAGGTTGGAGTGGCCTAGAGCAGTGCTTCTCAAACTTAACATGCACGTGAGTCACCGGTGGGGCAGGGGGCTGGCTCCAGTGTTCCCTCCCACCCAGTACATCTCGGTTGAGCCTTGAGGTCTGCATTTCTAAAAAGCTCCCAAATGATGCCGTGTTCATTGTCTACTGCTGCGTAATGAATTACCTCCAAAACTTAGCAGCATAAAACAACAAACATTTATTCTATCACGCAGTTTCTGAGGGTTGGGAATCTGGAAGCAGTTTGTCTGGATGATTCTGGCTCGGGCTTTCTTGGGACATGACAGGCAAGCTGTCAGCCAGACCACGGGCTCTGAAGGGGCTGCACTCTCCAGTCTCCCTGCACTGCTATTGGCAGTAGGCTGGAGCTCCTTGCTGTGTGGGCCTCTCCAAAGGGCTGCCCATATCATGGCTCTTGCTAAGATGGAAGCTGTAGCCTTTTTACACATAATCCCAGAAGCGACATGTTATCACTTCCACTGCATTCTATTCATCAGAAGGGAGTCATGAACTCCAGCCCACACTGAAGGGGAGAGAAACTAAGCCCCATCCCTTGAAAGGAAGAAAATCAACAAATGTATGGATGTATTTTTAAAATCATCACAGACACCATTGCTGCTAGTCCTTAGCCCACATCTGGGCTGCCTGGAGAGACAAGGGTTTAGAGTACAGTGTCCAAAATCATCCTGCTGGGGCTGGAGTAAAGGCAATGACACTTGCTAGAACGTCATTTAGCCAGACCGGGGGCGGGGGCTCACGCCTGTGATCCCAGCACTTCGGGAGGCCGAGGAGGGCAGATCACCTGAGGTCAGGAGTTCGGGACCAGCCACATGGTGAAACCCTGTCTCTACTGAAAATACAAAAATTAGCCAGGCGTGGTGGCGCATGCCTGTAATCCCAGCTACTCAGGAGGCTGAGGCAGGAGAATTGCTTGAACCCGGGAGGCGGAGGTTGCAGTGAGCTGAGATCTCACCACCGCACTTCAACCTGGGCAACAGAGCGAGACTCTGTCTCAAAAAAAAAGAAAAAAAGAAAGTCATTTAGCCTCTCGGTACCTCATCTGAAAAATGAGAATAACAATGATCCTATCAAGCAAGGTTGTTGCCTTAGGAAATAATACATAGAAACCACTCAGCACAGTACCTGGCAGGTAGAAGTAGCCAATGAATCGTCATTATTATTGTTATTATCAGAGAAGCTAACCCATTTCTCAGTGGCAGCCCCAGGAGTTCCAGGCTCTGCCCTCTTGGCTCTTAGGTCCCAGTCCTGCTCATGCAGTTGTCATCTACCCCCTAAAGCAGAAAAGTGTGTACCAAATTGTTCCAGAATTCCAGAGACACCCTACCTTCTCACCATTCTCCAGCCTCCTACACAGAGGCTGGGTAGATGGGTGGAGGTGAGGGTATCGATGGCTAGATAGCATGAAACCAGTCTTTGAGATGTGGCACAGACAGTTTGTAGGTGGTTGGAGTGTCATCTTGGAATGAGATCCATGAATCAGAATCTCTGGCAATGGAGTCTGATCATCCGCATTTATAACTTGCTCTCCGGATCATTCTTAGGCACACTAGAGTTTGAACAGCACTGCAGACAGATGCAAGAGATTTATTTATTCACCTACCTCCCCCCCTCACCTCCCAAAAGAATGGAAGGCTTGACTTTGAGTTCCTGAGAACAATAATGAGCTGTCCTCCTGGGGCCCTGTCTGAGGCCAGAGCTGGACTGGCCCTGGGGTTGACCCGGGGCAGAACTTCTGTCCTGGTGACTAATGATCCAGTACGGCCCAGCCTGGCTGTGGTTTGTCTACAGGCCCCGTGACAGGCCTATCCACCCAGATAACCACGATCTTGCTTTGTGGGATCAAATACTGGTTCAGGATTTATGAGTCCAAGTAACGACATGGCTGCGCTAGAGAGGGGGTGGGGTGGGAGCTGGGGGTGGGGCAGCACTTCTTCTCCCTCTGGAGCCTTGGCTGCCTTACCTAGCTTCAGGCTGCAGGTCAGGCCAAGAGGACAGGCTGCTGACTGCTTTGGGTAAGAACAGGGTCAGGGTACCAATGAACAGCATAGCAGCTGCTTCGTGTCTCCACGCAACCTCTCCCACTGTGTCACAGGGTGAAATCACTGCATGGTACACCCTGGTGCATTTTGTCATCCTAAAACCCAGGATGAGGTTAAAAATAAAAAAGCATCATTCTCCCACTACACAATTAGGGAATGGAAAAGATGTTTGTCATTGTTATCCCCTTAACAACTAGAGTTAATGGCTCGCTTAGGGCTGAGATGCTGCAGTCCTGAGTTGCAACTTCCAAATAGGCACCTTACTATGTTTGTCCTTTATAAACTTGGGACTGTGGCTCATGGTAAGACACAGCTTTTGGAGATCAGAAAGCATGGGCAAACTCTCATCTGAGTTTGGTGTTCAGGGCAACATTCATTCCGTTCATTCATTCATTCATTTAACTGAATTTGATTAAGTACAATTTGCCACACACCTGTTAGGCAACGGAAGATACAGCAACAACCAGGACCAATGATAGAGCTTACATTCTAAGGGATGCCTGTGGATACAAGTAATAAACAAGGAAACATGCAAATTAACACGATAATTTCCAGTCGTGATAAAGCAGGGCTGGAGGTATTTGCTAAGCGTGTTTTAAACTCATTGGCCTGTAGTATGGTTGGAGGAAGAAAGGAATTAGAAACTGATCTGCAACACAGACTTTAAATTCCTCTTGTCCTTCCTTCTTCTAAAATCATCCTGACTAGGGATGATTTTTCGCTCTATTTTTGCTCCATTTTGTTTGGATGGAACATCATGCAGACTTACAGCACAGGGATCCCAATAATAGCACAGTTGTTACTACAGAGATTTGTCCAGGTCAGATTTTATTGCTTTTGGCCCAAAGCTGCTACAAAATTTACAGAGCAAAGAGAGGTACAGTGTGGTCTACTGAGCAAGTTACTGAGTTAACTTGAGTTTCTGTGCTTGAACTTACTTAGCATTTAAAGGCAATTTCATAAAAGTCATCATTAGACTAATATATCACAGTAGCAATTCAACAATGATGTCTAAAAGTATTACCTGTGATTTTAGAGCAGCCAGTATAAAAAAGCCTTGCGCACATGGTTGGGGTGTTTTTGCTTATACATTTTGGGGGTGAGTCCTCTGAGACCTGTGGAACACCGTGAACCCTGGAAAATGCAAACATGTGTATTCACATAAAATTTCACGGTCCTGAACTCCTGAAGTCCATCCATGGTTCCCCCGGGGATTCATGTACCCCACTTTCCTGCTCTAAAATTTATATTTATGAAAAGATACCCAATATATTTTAAGTGAAGAAAATTAATTGCAGACAGTACATATAACAAGATTCCATTTTTCTTTTAAATGTTATATATAAATGAGCACTCAGTGTCTGAGGGTAGAGGATCAACTGAAAGGATTACTTTTACCTTGTATTCTATAGACTTCATTTAGAATTATTTTATCTAGCAAACAGTTTTTTTTTTTTTTTTTTTTTGAGTCAGAGTTTCACTCTTGTTGCCCAGGCTGGAGTGCAATGGTGCAATCTTGGCTCACTGAAACCTCCACCTTCCGGGTTCAAGCGATTCTCCTGCCTCAGCTTCCTAAGTAGTTGGGATTACAGGCATGCGCCACCACACCCGGCTAATTTTGTATTTTTAGTAGAGACGGGATTTCTCCATGTTGTTAGGCTGGTCTCAAACTCCTGACCTCAGGTGATCTGCCCGCCTCGGCTTCCCAAAGTGCTGGGATTACAGGCATGAGCCACTGTACCTGGCCCAAACACATTATTTTTATAATAGTTTTTTTTTAAAATGAAGCTAGAAATCATGGCCATGTCTGAATCAGACAATGTGGTTGCCATTCCTGGGCAATTGATGTGGATTGAGAACCAGTACTGGATTGAGAGCCTGTGTGGGTTAGAATATAAGGGGCAGAATATGAGGTCATTTGGGAGGTCTAGCTCAGGATATTTTAGATATAGGGTTGCTGGATTTAGAAGAGTTCAAGTAGGTGGCAGTGGAATAATTTGGAAATGTATTTCTGATAAAATACGTCTAAAATAAAGAAAGAGCAAATTGGTCATGTAGAATGGCCTCCTCAGTTCATTTGTGGTTAACTTGGAACCTGTGCTATAACATAATGCATTTTTATCCAAGATCTCTGCTTTTAGAGATCGTAGCCTATGGTGGGTCCTCATGTGAAAGAAATAGAGCTGAAACAGGAAAGGGTAGTGATAAACCCAGCTTCCACACTTCCATGGCTAGGTATAGTTCCAGGAAGTCTTAGGCTTGTGGGTATTTGATCCTGCATGCATGATTCTTAGTAGGAAGGTATAGAAATCAGATATATCATGTTCCAAATCATGACCGTCTTCCCATCTGACCCAGAGCTGCTTCCTGCTAAGGTGGCAGTAGACCTTGTGAAAGTTCTAAATAGGGCACTTTGCATTCAGAAATCACACACTGCTTTAGGGGTGGGTTTTTACAAAACCATACAGCTTAACACATCACACAGTGCATTAAAGGGAGCTCAGCCATGCAAGGAAAAAAGAGACCAGGACTTCTTCTGAATTAAGTCCTGGTCTGTCTTTGCTGCTTTCCTCCCACCATGAAACCATGAGCTGTGGAGAGCAGGCCTGCGCCAGCTTCTGCTCCATTTCTGCCTGGATCTGGGGAACGGAGGCCAGTGACATTTACTGGCGTCACTCCACCTACTGTGCACATGGCCCATCCTTTGGCACTAGAGCCGGACAGGGGTTTATTCAACGCACTTCAAAATGGCTATTCCAGAGGAGGCAGGAGAATGAAGCGATCAAGTTCACTATTATTGGTGTGATTTCAGTGTTGCAGGCAGAGCTGCTGCAAGAGGGGTATTATCTCTGCAAAGATCTACCTGACTTCTATGGGCGAGGGTGATACTTTTGTCTCACTGCCAGGGAGTAAAGGCATTTATGGAGTTAAGATCATTCTGATCTTTCCTATCTTCCATTCCCAGTCTCTCCTTGGGACCAAGGCTGTCAGAGGGACAATCCATGATATTGACAGTCCATGATGTCATTATTACCAGCTACGACTGCTACCACCTTCTATTCATAGAGTACTTTCCAGCCTACACAGCACAGCCACATGTGTCATGAATTAGTTATCTAATGTGACCCTCACAATACATCAGTGAGGTCCAGATGAGTGTCCCCACTTGACAAATTAGGAAACTGAGGCTTGGAGCGGGTAAGAAATTTCTCGCAAGTCTGCTCACCTCATTGGTGGAGAAGAAGATACTTGGAACCAGGTCTTCTGACCCCAAGTCCAGTGCTCTGTCCCCTCTTTCCCCTGGCTGAGATCAGAAAAGTGGCCACAAACAAAGCACAGTCCAGCATTGAACCAGAAACTGTCCCTGAGCATGAGCTGTGTTTGTCCTGGGCATAGCAAAAAAAGCATTCCTTTGCCCCCCAAAACAAAGATAACCATAGCCAGTTAGCATGTTCTTAGTTCTTATGCTATGCCAGGTACTGCTCTAAACACTTCACAGCTATGACCCCTCCTAATCCTTACAACTACTAAGTAGAAGTTACCATTATTTTCTTCATGTTATAAATGAGGAAACTGAGACTCAGAGACATCAAGTGATTTGTCCACAATCACAGACAAAAAGTGACAGTGCTGGGATTACATCCAGGCCCTGGGACTGCGGAGGTCTGGACTGCTAACCACCACACGTGTCCCCTTCTCCCAGTGGGCGTGTTCATCATTTATTTATCAAGAAACCCACCCCTGATCCTGACGCCCTCAGGACCTTCGCTTGGTAGCAGGTTACTTGACTGAATCAGGCTGAATAGTTCTACTTCATCTGTTAACACTCCTTCAGCCATGGTGCATTAGGGGCCTAAGAGCCCTTAAACCAGCAACACAAAATCCCCTATTTCTGCAAAATTGCTCTTTCAGATGGCAGTCAAACTCCATGAGGACACAGAGACAGATTCCTCAAACAGAGCCTCACTCGGCAGCGTAATTAATAAATGTCTTGAAGAGGGTCAGGGGAAAAGATTTGCTGCCGTTTTGCTGGGCATCTGGGGAGCGAAACACAAGCAATTAATATACATTTTTTATTTCCACTTATTGCCTTCGTCAAGTACTTTCATATTCCATAGGCCAGATGGATTAGTCAGGGTTTTTTTTAGTAGTTCTATGTTTCAATGAAATAACACTCTCCCTTCTCATCTCCACCAAGTAATAAGAAAAACCACATAAAAAGAAAAAGAAAAGGCAAAAACCTAAATCTCTGTGTTGACAAATGCCATGGAAAAAGTTTTCTTTTTTTCCAGTAAGTGCTTGTAATTGTGTTTTGGCACATTTTTTTCCCTAAAGGAACTAACCCCACAGTTAATACCATTTGGGGGAGAGAAATAAACTTGCAATGGATTGCCCCCACAAAAATGTGCTGATAGTGAAGGCAGGATTTGAGATTTTGGAGAGAGAAGGTCTGTGCCAGAAACAGAGAACAAGCCCTGCAGCCTGTGACCTGGAAGTCTCAGCCCTTCAAGTGCTGGAGTTCAGCGTCGGGTTTTGGCGTTCTCCTTGGAGACGCCTATTGATAGCTGGTGTCTCTGCGGATACAACTTGAGCTAATTCCCGGGATAATGACCCGGCCGCCCATGATTTACTAACTTCACCGCTGTGCAGCCGCTCCGTCAGGGCTGGTTAATCCTTTAATGGTCCCTGCAGTGTGTCCAGGACTGCTCCAAAAATTCCAACGCCCTCCCTGGAACACTGAGGGGTATTGAATGCCCCTTCCCCTCCCCTCCACATCTCCCCACCCCCGGCCCTTATCTTATCAGGTAGCTAATTCCCACAAATTATTGTGTGGTTAAGGCAGAAAAATGAAATTGCTCTCAAATCATAAATTTGTCACTTTTGCAGACAGCTGCTAAGTCAAGAAAATCTTGACCAAGTGGGGCTTAGTCACTGTTCTGAACAATTAAGACCTATAAGCGTATTTGGCTGTCTCTCAAAGCAATGTTTATTGATGGAAGGGAAGAAAACAGTTTATATAGAGATTTAACTCTATCCACTCTTAAGTGGAGTGTAATCCTTCATTGAGGAGAATGTGACTATCAACACACTGTGTCTGACAAAATGTCTCTATGGCCCATAGCACTTTATTCACTGTGGCCATCCTTGAGCTCAGTGGCTGCCTTTAGGTGGGGAACACGTAAGTTTCCTAAATCTAGTCTCACTCAGAGCTGAAAGTCAAAAGGTGGAAACAATCAAATGTCCATTAATCAACGAATGGATAAACAAAATGTGGTATATCCACACAATAGCATATTATGCAGCCTTAAAAAGGAATTATATCCTCATGCATGCTGTAACATGGGTGAAACTCAAACACATGCTAAGTGAAAGAAGCCAGAACTACCAGGGCTTCAGAGGGTCTACAGCCCACAGGATCCCTCAGAGAGGATATTGAGGAACTTCTCTTTTAAATTATATATCCAGGCCAGGTGCGGTGGCTCACGCCTGTAATCCCAGCACTTTGGGAGGCTGAGAAGGGTGGACCACCTGAGGTCAGGAGTCCGAGACCAGCCTGGCCAACATGGCAAAACCTCATCTCTACTAAAAAAAAGTACAAAAAATAGCCAGTTGTGATGGCACACACCTGTAGTCCCAGCTACTTGGGAGGCTGAGGCAGGAGAATTGCTTGAACTCAGGAGGTAGAGGTTGCAGTGAGCCAAGATCGTGCCACTGCACTACAGCCTGGGTGACAGAGCGAGACTTCACCTCAAAAAAAAAATATGTATATCCAGAATTCTCCTGCATCCCATCACCTCCACCACTATCAGCCTGTTCAAGCTGCCATCATCTTTCACTTGGACTATTGCAGGAGCTTCTTCACTGCTCTCCTGTTTTTGCCTTGGCCTCAATTCTGTCTATTCGCCACACAGCAGCCCAAAGGATCCTTTAAATTTTTTTTATTGCGGTAAAATTCACATACCATAAAATTAAAATGTTTAAGTGTACAATACAGTGGCTTTTAGTGCATTCTTAATTAGTGCAACCATCACCTCTATCTAATTCCAAAACATTTTCATGATTCTGAAAGGAAACCCATACCCAGTAAGCAGCCAGTCTCCACTCTGCCTTTCCCCAGCCCCTGGCAACCATTAATCTTCTTTCTGTCTCTATGGATTTGCTTATTCAGGATATTTCATTTAAATGGAATCATACCATATGTGACCTTTGTGTCTAACTTCTTTCACTTAGCGTGTTTTTGAGTTTCACCCATGTTATAGCACATATCAATATAGTATCAGTACATAATTCCTTTTTGGCAGAATAATATTCTGCTGTGTGGATAAGCCACATTTTGCTTATCCGTTCATTGGTTGATGGACATTTATTGTTTCCATCTTTTGACAGCTGTGAACAGTGCTGCTGTGAATATTCTTTTATAGGTTTTTTAATCAATACCTGTTTTCAGTTCTTTTGGGTGTATAACTAGGAGTGGAATTGCTGGGTCCTGATCCTTTTAATTTTTTATTGATATGTAATGTTTTATACATTTACGGGACACATGATATTTCGTTACATGCATAGAATGTGTAATGATCAAGTCAGGGTATTTGGGGTATCCATCAAGATGTTAGATTTAAAACATTTGCTGTGGTATGGGTAATTAAAAGATTATAGGGCCAGGCATGGTGGCTCACGCCTGTAATCCCAGCACATTGGGAGGCTGAGGCGGGAGGATCATGAGGTCAGGAGATCGAGACCATCCTGGCTAACACAGTGAAATCCCATCTCTACTAAAAATACAAAAAATTAGCCAGGTGTGGTGGTGGGCGCCTGTAGTCCCAGCTACTCGGGAGGCTGAGGCAGGAGAATGGTGTGAACCTGGGAGGCGGAGCTTGCAGTGAGCCAAGATCATGCCACTGCACTTCAGCCTGGGCTACAGAGCGGAGACTCCATCTCAAAAAAAAAAACAAAAAAAGATTATACTCATATGTATTATATATGATTATATATTATATGATTATATATAATTAAAAGATTAGATATAGATTATATAATATATATAAGATTATATATAAAAGATTATATATACATATATATATATATTTTTTTTTTTTTTGAGACAGAGCCTTGCTCTGTCACCCAGGCTGTAGTGCATTGGCACAATCTCAGCTCACTGCAACCACTGCCTCCCAGGTTCAAGCGATTCTCCTGCCTCAGCCTCCCAAGTAGCTGGGATTACAGGCATACACCACTGCACCCAGCTAATTTTTGTATTTTTAGTAGAGACGAGGTTTCACCATATTGACCACGCTGGTCTCAAACTCCTGACCTCAAGTGATCTGCCTACCTTAAGTGCTGAGATTACAGGCATCAACCACCCTGGCTGGCCAAAATATATTTTCCTAACTTCCACAGTTAAGAAAGAGTTTTCAGTTGTAGCAGGACAGTGGCCGAAGTTGTAACAGAGTTGACTTTTGCAGGAAAGTGAAAGTAACAAGTACAGAGGGCAAGCCATGGGATCCCTCATTCATTCAAGTGATACATGCAGTGGGTTTGAATTTCAAGAGCACAAGAAATACCTCTTTATTTTCCTAAAATGAGACTGAATTTCTGTGTCAAACTCCCATGTCACTGAGATCTTGTCTCAGTCAAGGTTAAAGGTTCTAGTGTAAGTTTCAGAAGACTCATGTACTGCCACGCCCTGGAAGGTGGTCTTCCTGAAGTTCCAGTGATCTGTGCACACAGGTATTTCTAAGATGTCTGGCTGGCCCCTTCAGGCCTGGAGGGCACCAGACATTCAGCTGGGCTATCTGTGGCGCTCTATGACCCTGCCTACCTAAAACATATCACTCAGCCACCCCCAGCCCCTCCCACCAGGGGTGTTGCCATCTTCCTTCTCAAGCCATATTTTCTTTTCCCACCTCCTCCTGCTTAAAGGAATCTTTTCCTTGTCTTCAAGAGAAATCCCTTCTTCTTTTAAATCTCGGGTATTTCTTCTCAGGGCCATTTTCTCTCTATTATCTTCCATCAATCAGTGGCAAATACAACCACAAATATACATAATAACTCAAAGAGAGGGCCGGGCACGGTGGCTCACACCTGTAATCCCAGTACTTTGGGAGGCCAAGGCAGGTGGATCACAAGGTCAAGAGATCAATACCGTCCTGGCCAACATGCTTAAACCCCATCCCTACTAAAAATACAAAAATTAGCCAGGTGTGGTGGCATGCACCTGTAATCCCAACTACTCAGGAGGCTGAGGCAGGAGAATCGCTTGAACCTGGGAGGTGGAGATTGTAGTGAGCCCAGTTCGCACCACTGCACTCCAACCTGGCAACAGAGCGAGACTCCATCAAAACAACAACAACAACAACAAAACAAAGCAAAAAAGCAAAAACAAAACAAACAAAAAAGAAACTTCAAAGAGAGACCAGCTGGCCATTTCTTGTAATCACACCACTCCACTGAGGAAGAGAACCCCAGGACTCACTGCTAGAGTAGGGAGGTGGGGAGCAAAATGCTAGGAGAAAAAGAGAGGTTAATATTTCAAAGATGGTACCCTATCGCATATTATTGAGCACATGCTATGGAGCAGTCACTGTTCTGGATGCTAAGGATATAGAGATGGATGCAATCTACACAGGGGATGAATTTGTTTCCAATTGTTGCTATAAAAAATTACCTTGTGGATTAAAACAACACAAATTTCTTATAGTTTTGGAGATCAGCAGTCCAAAATGGTTCTCACTGGGCTAAAATCGAGGTATCAACAGGGCCACTTTCCTTTCGGAAGATCTAGGGGATGATGCATTTTCACACCTTCTCCAGCTGCCCACATTTCTTGGCTCGTGGCCTGTATCACTCCGAGCTTTGCTTCCTCCATCACATCTCCTTCTCTGATCCTCATGCTCCTGCTCCCCACTCTCTGCTTTATAAGGACCCTTATTACATTTAGAGTCCACCTCCAGAATCCAGGAAAATCTCCCAATCTTAAAATCCTTAGCTTAATCACATCAGCAAAGTCCCCTTTGCCTTGTATCCTGGGTTCTAGGGATTAGGACATGGACATCTGTGGGAAGACATTAATCTGCCTACTACAGGGGATTTGTCTAGAGGTGCTGTGGTAAGCCCTACCACAGGAGAAATGTAGGGTGTATGAGAGTTTGCAGGAATGCCAGATTTGGCGATCAGGAAAAGCTCCTCTGTTTAGTCTGAGACCTGGAGGATGAATAAGAAGGATTTGGGAGGCCGGGTGTGGTGGCTCATGCTTGTAATCCCAGCTACTTGGGAGGCTGAGGCAGGAGAATCACTTGAACCCAAGAGGTGAGGTTGCAGTGAGCTGAGATCGAGCCACTGCATTCCAGCCTGGGCGACAGAGCAAGCCTCTGCCTCAAAAAAAAAAAAAAAAAAAAAAGAAGGATTTGGGAGACATGAGGAAGAGGAAGTTATACTGAAAGAATTCAGATAGTTTAGAACAAAGGCTTAAAAGTCACAGAGAATGAAGTAGATCTTTGGAGCTGGGAGTCACTGAGCAAGTTGTTACAAGGCTGCAAGGTAAGGACCAGGCATGAAAGGCCTGGGAAGCCCTGGGAAGTTTAGGCTTTAACCTAAGGGCAAAGGGTGGCAAGGTGAGATGGAAAAGTCACTTGGCTCCTATGCCAGTCCAGATTGAAGGGCTGGTGATGGAGAGAATAGCCAGGAGGTATGATAGTAATCCAGAGACAGATGCTGGGACTAGGAGGGCTGGGGACAGGTGGAGGCATGAGGAGAGATTGAGATTTATTTATTTGTTTTATTATTATTATTCTTTGAGACACAGTCTCCCTCTGTCGCCCAGGCTGGAGTGCAGTGGCACTATCTCAGCTCACTGCAACCTCTGCCTCCCTGGTTGGAGCAATTCTTATGCCTCAGCCTCCTGAGTAATCCTCAGCTGGGATTACAGGCGTGCGTCACCATGCCCGGCTAATTTTTTTGTATTTTTAATAGAGATGGGGTTTCACCATGTTTCCCAGGCTGGTCTCAAACTCCTGGGCTCAAGTGATCCACCTGCCTTGGCCTCCCAAAGTGCGGGGATTACAGGCGTGAGCCACTGCACCCAGATGAGATTGAGACTTAGATTTAGGACTGTCAGGGGTCGGCAGTTGGCTGGATGTTGGGTGAGGATTACAGAAGGAGGAGTCCCAGGTTTCTGGCTTGAGCTACATGGGGAAGAAGGCCATGGTTCCTGTTTTGAACATGTTGTCTTGGTGCCTAGGAGAGATCGGAGTGGACTGCCTAGGAAACAGCTGGCTGCAGCTCTGTCTTGGGGTCTGGTGAGGATTAAACAAATGAAGTATGGAAAGCACTTAGCCCAGTGGCTGGCACATAGTCCGTACTTAATAAATATGAAATATTATTATTATGTATTAGTTTTATATTCAGGTCTGTGCTGTACCTTATCAAATTATGCCCTGAGAGCCATTTGGAGCAAAATAAAAAGAAGGCAAGTAAATGACAAGAGAGCAAGGAAAAGGGTGGTTCTGTAGCTGCACACGTATCTGTGTTCTCACGAGAGTCCCACAGGCTAACAGGGAAAGGATGGGGCAGGGCTTGCCTGTTAAAGTGGAGGCATCAGTTAGCATGAACCAAATACAGATGGGGAAAATAACTACCCTGAGTCTGCTCACTCCTGCAATTCTAGGATCAGACATCCCAGGTGAGGAGTCCCCATGAAGCGGCATCGTTTGTCTGGGGTAATACCTGAGGTTGGTTGCCTCATGCCAAGGAAATCAAGGACACGGACACACGTGGAGTGAAGATTAAGAATGGAGGTTTAATAGGCGAAATTAAGAAAAAAGAGAAATAGCTCTCCCTTCTGCAGAGAGAGAGGAGATCCCGAGGGGGTCTTCTGGTTTGGTGGTGAAATGCACAGGGTTTTATAGTCTGGTTTGCGGAGGCTGTGTCTGACTTACATAGGGCCCAAAGATTGGTTGGACCAGGCATGACATTTATACAGCCCGTGAAGAAGTTGGCCACCCCACCCTAATCTTTTGTTATGCAAATGAGTTTTTTTAACTGGCCAGCACCACATTGTCAGCTCCTTACTGTACACATGGTTGATAAAGGAAAGGGAAGATGGAGCCTCCATGTTGGACATGTCTAGCCCCCAGGTAGCCTTTTCCTATTGTCACAGCTGCAGGCATTCACCTCTGCAAGCTTCCGACTTGCTTATCTATGTTTGCAGCTCAATTTTACAGGCTGCTTTTTGTTAGAAAAGAAATGATTTGGCCGGGCGCAGTGGCTCATGCCTGTAATCCCAGCACTTTGGGAGGCCGAGGCAGGCGGATCACCTGAGGTCAGGAGTTCAAGGCCCTGTCTCTCTACTAAAAATACAAAAATTAGCCGGGCGTGGGGGCCGGCACCTGTAATTCCAGCTACTTGGAGGCTGAGGCAGGAGAATCGCTTGAATCCGGAAGGCGGAGGTTGCAGTGAGCCGAGATGGCGCCACTGCACTTCAGTCTAGGCAACAAGAGCGAAACTCCGTCTCAAAAAAAAAAAAAAAAAAACACTGGGGGGCTGCTCTTTATGAAAAGGGAAACCTTACCAAGGACTTCCTTATCCTCACTATCTGTCTAAATAATTTCTTCTTAACTCCTGTATCACCCAGATATCTCCGTGAGGAGTCAGGAGGGAAATTTGGGCTGATTGCTGGGTGTTTTTGTTTTTGTTTGTTTTTGGTTTTTTTTGAGACGGAGTCTCGGGCAGCTACCCAGGCTGGAGTGCAGTGGTGCAATCTCGGCTCACTGCAAGCTCCGCCTCCTGGGTTCACGCCATTCTTCTGCCTCAGCCTCCGGAGTAGCAGGGACTACAGGCATCCGCCACCACGCCTGGCTAATTTTTTGTGTTTTTAGTAGAGACGGGGTTTCACCGTGTTAGCCAAGATGGTCTCTATCTACTGACCTCGTGATCCGCCCCCCTCAGCCTCCCAAAGTGCTGGAATTACAGGCATGAGCCACCGACCCCGGCCCAGGCTGGTTTGTTTTTAATGAGAGGCTGGGTGGCTGTTAGGGAGGGGGACGTCCTTTCTCGTCAATATCAACAATGTCAGCAACATCAGCAATGAACTGATTTTTCTCTTCACTCTGATTTCAACCCTAGTATTGCCATCAAAGAGAATCCTCCGTCTGCACAACTGCAAACACGGGCCTTAAAAGAAGGCTGGGGCAATTTCTCCAAGTGGTTTCATATTAGTACTTGCCCCTTAGAGAGAAGAATTGATTTTCCTGGGCAAAGTAACATTTGGTAGAAGGAAAAGTTTTATGATTTATGATGCACCAGAGACCATATATTTCCCTTAAATATTATCATTATGGTCATAGCACTTCAAAAGAGAAAAATGGAATTCAAGGAACATTAACTTCTAAATATTTACGGCATTTCAAATCCCTGTCCAGTCTTCATTGTCACTAGGATAACTTTGAGAAGTTGTGAGCACATAGACAATGCAATGAAAAATAGCCAGAATCCAGCTGAGTGTTGTGTTCATATCCTTCTGTGGTTGTTGTGGGGCTCCAAGACTGGAAAAATATGAAAAGAATGCAGGATTCCAGCAAGTACAAAGGTCTTTAGAACTAGACCAGAAACATGTAAATATCTTGAGTCAAAGAAATGCACAATTAGTCAAGTGAAGTCACAGATTGGGAAGTGTGCAGGCTTCTCTGAGTAGAGAAAAGGCTGGGGACTTGGCTGTAAGACCACCCCCATTTGGAAACCATAAGATATAGAACCGTAAATAAAGCTCAGTGGGTCTTTCAGTCTTGTGGACAGCATTGCAGTCAGCACTCAGATTCAACTGTGACAAAGGTAACCCCAAAAGTGTTCAGGATAATGAAATTTTTTCCTCAGAAGGTAAAAAGTTCCTTAATTCTGAAACCTGGGGTATTTTTTATACATAACAATAGAATGGCAAGAGAATAAAACAAAAATATTAGCATTTTTATGTTAAGACATCTGAGCATATTTGATATTTTGAGTGTAAGGTTTAAGAAAGTTGGGTTGGCTGGGTGTGGTGGCTCACACCTGTAATCCCAGCACTTTGGGAGGCTGA
Organism: Homo sapiens; assembly: GCF_000001405.40. Classification (NCBI taxonomy): domain Eukaryota; kingdom Metazoa; phylum Chordata; class Mammalia; order Primates; family Hominidae; genus Homo; species Homo sapiens. Next base: position 32,367,409 of record NC_000011.10, read on the forward strand.
GGTGGGCAGATCACGAGGTCAAGAGATCAAGACCATCCTGACCAATATGATGAAACCCCATCTTTATTAAAAAGTACAAAAATTAGCTGGGCATTGTGGTGCATGCTTGTAGTCCCAGCTACTTGGGAGGCTGAGGCAGGAGAATCGCTAGAACCCAGGAGGCAGAGGTTACAGTGAGCCAAGATCGTGCCACTGCACTCCAGCCTGGGCAACAGGGTGAGACTTCATCTCAAAAAAATTTAAAAAAAGGAAAGAAGGTTGGGTCTATTAGAGTTGATAAGTCAGTCTTGAAATTCTATTTTAAAATGTAATGAGTGATTAATGTGTATGTGTAATATTTAAACTAAATTCTGATTAAATTTACATACCAGGTTGAAAAGGGCTTGAGAATTACTATATTAGTCTTTTCACACTGCTGATAAAGACATGTGTAATTTAAAAGGAAAAAGAGGAAATATATTAATATTCATACATGTTGCACCTATCCTTCTATTATCCTTGAACCCTAAAATTACAAGACTGTGTAATTTAAAAAGAAAAAGAGGTTTAATGGACTCATGGTTCCACTTGGCTGGGGAGGCCTCACAATCGTGGTTGAAGGTGAAAGGCACACGGTGGCAGACAAAAGAGAATACTAGAACTTGTGCAGGGAAATTCTCTTTTATAAAACTATCAGATCTTGTGAGACTTATTCACTATCATGAATACAGTACAGGAAAGACCCGCCCTCATGATTCAATTATCTCCCACTTAGTCCTTCCCATGACACATGGGAATTGTGGGAGCTATGATGCAAGATGGGATTTGGGTGGGGACACAGCCAAACCATATCATTCTGCCCATGGCCCCTTCCAAATCTCATATCTTCACATTTCAAAACCAATCATGCCTTCCTGATGGTCCCCCAAAGTCTTAACTCATTTCAGCATTAACTGAAAAGTCCACAGTCCAAAGTCTCAACTGAGACAAGGCAAATCCCTTCTGCCTACGAGCCTGAAAAAATCAAAAGTAAGTTAGTTACTTCCTAGATAAAATGGGGGTACAGGCATTGGATAAATATACCCATTCCAAGTAGAAAAAATTGGCCAAAATGAAGGGGCTAAAGGCCCCATGCAAGTCTGAAATCTAGTGGGGAGGTCAAATCTTAAAGCTCCAAAAAAAAAAAAAAAAGATCTCCTTTTACTCCATGTCTCATATCCAGGTCACGCTGATGCAAGAGGTGGGTTCCCATGGTCTTGGGCAGCTCTGCCCCTGTGCCTTTGCAAGGTACAGCCTCCCTCCTGGCTGCTTTCACAGGCTGGTGTTGAGTATCTATGGCTTTTCCAGGTGCGTGGTGCAAGCTGTTGGTGGATCTACCATTCTCAGGTCTGGAGAACGGTGACCCTCTTCTCACAGCTCCATTAGGCAGCACCCCAGTGGGGACTCTGTGTGGGGTTGCCCACCCCACATTTCCCTTCTGCACTGCCCTAGCAGAGGTTCTCTATGAGGGCCCCACCCCTGCAGCAAACTTCTGCCTGGATATCCAGGCATTTCCATACATCCTCTGAAATCTAGGCAGAGGTTCCCAAACCTCACCTCTTGGCTTCTGTGCACCTCCAGGCTCAACACCACGTGGAAGCTGCCAAGACTTGGGGCTTGCACCCTCTGAAGCCACAGCCTGAGCTGTACCTTGGCCCCTTTTAGTAATGGCTGGAGCAGCTGGGACACAGGGCACCAAGTCCCTAGACTGCACACAGCAGTGTGACCCTGGGCCCAGCCCACAAAACCATTATTCCTTCCTAGGCCTCCAGGCCTGTGATAAGAGGGGCTGCTGCAAAGTTCTCTGACACACCCTGGAGACATTTTCCCCCATTATCTTGGTGATTAACATTCAGCTCCTCCTTACTTATGCAGATTTCTGCAGCCGGCTTAAATTTCTCCTCAGAAAATAGGATTTTCTTTTCTGTTTTCTCTATCAGGCTGCAAATTTTCTAAACCTTTATGGTGTTTCCCTTTTAAAATTGAATGTTTTTAACACTTCTTGAATGCTTTGCTGCTTAGAAATTTGTTCTGCTAGATACCCTAAATCATCTCTCTCAAGTTCAAAGCTCCACAAATCTCCAGGGCAGGGGCAAAACGCCACCAGTCTCTTTGCTAAAGCATAACAAGAGTCACCTTTTCTCCAGTTCCCAACAAGTTCCTCATTTCCATCTGAGACTACTTCAGCCTGGATTACATTGTCCACATCATTATCAGCATTTTGGTCAAAGCCATTCAGCAAGTCTCCAGGGAGTTCCAAACTTTCCCACATTTTCCTATCTTCTTCTGAGCCCTCCAAACTGTTCCAACCTCTGCCTGTTACCCAGTTCCAAAGTCACTTCCACATTTTCAGGTATCTTTTCAGCAGCGCCCCATTCTACTGGTACCAATTTACCATATTAGTCAGTTTTTATGCTGCTGATAAGGACATACCCAAGACTGTGTAATTTAAAAAGAAAAAGAGGTTTAATGGACTCACAGTTCCATGTGGCTGGGGAGGCCTCACAATCATGGTGGAAGGCAAAAGGCACATCGTACACAGCAGCAGACAAGAGAGAATAATAGAACTTGTGCAGGGAAACTCCCCTTTATAAAACTATCAGATCTCATGAGACTTATTCACTATCATGAGAACAGCATAGGAAAGACCTGCCCCCATGATTCAATTACCTCCCACTGGGCCCCTCCCATGACACATGGGAATTGTAGGAGCTACAGTTCAAGATGAGTTTTGGGTGGGGACACAGCAAAACCATATCAATCACCATATTTATGAGTTTAGTTTACTAGAATTTAAAGTGTTGTTTAGGTTCCCAGGAAAGTTTTGTTTGTTGACTCAGACTGGTATAAGGAAGGAAGGAAGGAAGGAAGGAAGGAAGGAAGGAAGGAAGGAAGGAAGGAAGGAAGGAAGGAAAGAAGGAAAGAAAGAAAGAAGGAAAGAAAGAAAGAAGGAAACAAAGAGAGCAGTAAGGACAAGAGACATCCTTGTCTGCTTCTGTTTTGAAGGAGAATTGCTTTGGTTCTTCTAATATTGGCTTTTGCATTTAATTTTTTAAATCTTTTTTTTTTGAGATAGGTTCTCACTCTCTTGCCCAGGCTGGAGTGCAGTGGTGTAATCATAGCTCACTGCAGGCTCAAACTCCTGGGCTCAAGGGATCCTCCCACCTCAGCCTCCCGGTAGCTGGGACTACAGGCATGTGCCCCCATTCCCAACTAACTTTTTAATTTTTGTAGAGATAGGGTCTCACTATGTTTCCTAGGTTGATCTCCAACTTCTGACCTCAAGCCATCCTCCTGCCTTGGCCTCCCAAAGTGCTGGAATTACAAGCATAAGCCACCTTGCTTGGCCTAATTTCTAAAACTTTATATTATGGAAATTTTTAACATGCACAAAGATAAGACAGAAAAGTACACTATTAAACCCCCATGTGGTCACTACTCAGCCTTCACAATTTTTTAACATTTCTCCATTCCTGTTTTATTCATTCTTGTTTTATAACCCCACTCCAAACATTCTTTTCTCCTCCTCCTTCTCCTTTTTTTGCTTTGAGGTCGTGGTCATGAGGCAGACTGGAAGGTTTTTTTTTTTAACTGAGGTAAAAATCAATGAAATGTACAGATTTTAAGTGTACAGTTTGATGACTTTCATTAAATGTATATGCCCAAGTACTCAACAATCCAATCGAGATAAAGAACATTTCATTACCCTAGAAAATTTCCCTGTGCCCTCTTCCAGGAAAACATCACCCTCCACACACAACCACTTTTCTGATTTATATCATCATAGAAATGGTGCCTTTTCTTGAGCTTCATATATTAGGAATGACGTGGTATCTTCCCCTTTGTCTGACTTCTTTCATTCAAACTTTTTTGGGATTCATCCATGTTGTTGCATATATCAGTTGTTCATTTTTCAAATTGCTGGATAGTATTGCATTGTATGAATGTGCCACACTTTATTCACTTATACCTTCTCCCATTGATAGACATTTGGGTTGTTTGCAATTTTTAGCTATTCTGAATACAAGTAATATAAACATTCTTATACAATTCTTTTTTCTCATTCTTGTACAATTCTTATTTTGGATATTTGTTTTCATTTTTGTGGGGGTAGATAACAAAGAATATAGAATTGCTTGGCCATGGGGTAGATGTATACTTAGCTTTATATGGAACTGCCAAACAGTTTTTCCAAAATGGCTTTGCTATTTCACACTCTCCTCAGCAGTGTATGAGAAGTCTAGCTGTTGCACATCCTTGGCGGTATTTGGTGTTGTCAGTTTTTTCCACTGGAGCCATTTCAGCAAATGTGAAATGGCATCTCATTGTTGTTTTAATGTGCACATTGCTATGGTCTGAATGTGTCCCCCCAAATTTCATATGTTGAAATCCTGACCCCCAAGGTGATGGTATTAGGATGTGGGGCCTTTGGGAGATGATTAGGCCATGAGGACAGAGCCCTTGTGAATGGGATTAGTGCCCTTAGAGAAGAGGTCCTAAAGAGTGAATTCTTTCCCTCCACCATGTAAGGACACAGCAAGGGGCCATCTATGAGCCAGAGAGCAGCCCTCACCAGACACCAGGCCTGCACCTTGATGTTGGACTTCCCAGCCTCATGAACTGTGACGAATAAATTTCTGATGTTTATAAACCATCTAGTTATGTTATCTTGCTATATAGCAGGGTGAATAGACTAAGACACAAGTGTAATGTGTGTGTGTACAGAAATTCTTCCTACCAAATTTTAAAGAGTTTAATTAAGAAAAGTGATAAGTTTTTTGTGGAAGATGTGGTGTTTTATACTTATTAAGATAATTATTTTTCTTTTTAAATAGTAAACCATTAATAATTTATATGAATGATACCTTCCATTCCCAAAATAAACCTTTTTTGAAAGGAATGAAGTGATGACGCATGCTGACCACAGATGAAACTTGAAACATGCTAAGTGGAAGTAACAATGACTCTCTCCTTGGCCAAACTTTAATCAGTGTCCTCTAAGCCCTTTTCTCAACTAAGCTCAGGTTTGCAGAGCCCAGATTGAGCAAAAATCCTATTAAGTCCAGTGTGTGTGTGTGTGTCTGTGTGTGTGTGTGTGTTTGTGTGTGTGTGTGTAATTTTTTGTGACGGAGTCTCACTGTGTTAGCTAGGCTGCTCTTGAACTCCTGGACTCAAGCAATCCTCCCACCTCGGCCTCCTGAGTAGCTGGGATTACAGGTGCACACCCAAAATAAACCTTATATACCCATAGTGGACAATATTTTTTTGAGACAGGGTCTCATTGTGTTGCCCATGCTGGAGTGCAATGGCACGATCTCAGCTCACTGCAACCTCCACCTCCCAGGTTCAAGCCATTCTCCCACCTCAGCCTCCCCAGTAGCTGGGACTGCAGGTGCACACCACCACGCCCAGCTAATTTTTGTATTTTTTGGTAGAGGCAGGGGTTTCACCATGTTGGCCAGGCTGGTCTCGAACTCCTGACCTCAGATGATCCGCCCACCTCAGCTTCCCAAAGTGCTGGGATTATAGGCGTGAGCCACCATGACTGGCCACTTCTTTTAATGTGTTGTTTTATTCTAAGTCATACAATCTGATATACCATTTTTTAATCGTTTCCCACGTATGCTTAGTTTAAATTATTTGGTGGGGGAAAGGGCAGGGTAGAGGCAGTATTGTATCCTTGTCAGATTCAAGGATCAAAAACAAATTCAATTTATACAATCATCTCAGTTAACAGGCCATTCCTTTTCCCGATATTTTGAGAGAATTCATGTAATAAAGGGATTATTTATAGTGCCGTCGAAAGAGCATTGACTTGGGAGGAAAACAGAACTGCTCTTGATGTGAGTTGGCCACTCACCAGCCTTATGACCTAGCAAATTATTTCATCTCTCTTTCAGTATCTTCCACATCACTGAGCAAGTGGATGGAGAGAGGAAAGACACCTGGTGAATCCCGGTGATAAGACTGATGATTGGAAATAAAATTTGCCATGAAATGGGACAAGCATACTCCAGTATGACTGCATCACAATTAATTGCATCTGCAATGACCTTATTCCCAAATAAAGTCACATTCTGAGGTGACGTGAATTTTGGAATGACACTATCCAGACCACACACCTATATTCATTCATATTTGGAAACTCCATTTCGGGTTATGAAACACGTGCCTCACTTGTTGCATGCCCTTTGCAGACAGGGTGATGCAAAGTGTGACACAGTGTGACCTGGGTTCCAGTCATTGTCCTGCCTTGTGCTAGATGACCCTGGGCAATCTAATTCATCTTTCTAGGCCTCATCCAAATAATGAAGTCAGGAGAGGTGGTCTCTAAGAACCCTTGGAATTTAATTATTCACAAGCTTTTGGGACTCAATTAAACATTTTTTTTCTTTCTTTTTTTTTTTTTTTTTTTTTTTTTTTTCAGGGGAAATGTAGGAATGAGCCATCATGAAACGATGCCAGAGGCTGGAGAGCCTGGATACATTGACACAATTGGGGGATGAATGATTTATTACAATTCAATTCCAGGGCAGCCCAGTCTACAGCTCCCCAGGAAGCATCTCTAAAGGTGCTACTTGTTAATCATCACCATACGAAAGGCGGGGGGGATTGCTTTCATCTGTGGCTTTTATGAGACCATCCAGCTATTCTTCAGAGCCAGTTTCTCATCAAAAATGGGGTTTATTACTACAAAAGTTAAAGACCTTAGTACACATTTTGGTAAACATAGATTGATATCCCCTAGCAGGAATCAAGAGAACAGATTTCATTTACTGAAAGGTTACCAGGCATTGTGCTAAGGGCTCTACATGGCTTCTTTCCATTTAATCCCCCAAACAACTCTATGAAGTCGTGTGCCAGGTAATCAATGTATCCTTCTCAGGTCCAAATTCACCCTTCAGTACCTGCTCTGCCATAATGACGTGTAAAGCATTTGTCCTTTACATTGAGCGCCACGATAAGCTTTGTCAGTAGAGGGCGCTGGAGAGACATCACGGGAGGACGCCGCTTCTCTTCCTGGTTCTGGCCCGCTCTTTTGCTTGGTTTGCTCCACCTGCTTTGTAAAGCGTCCTCCTGTGCATATGTGAGGACATCCAGTGGCATTCTGCTCCACCCAGGCTCCCAGAGTGCCCAGTCCCTCAGCCACTTTGCAGCCCTGCTGGGGGCCCAGTGACCACCTTGCTGTGGCCTTCCTGTTGCAAATGCCAGTGCACCCCAGGGCTCCCCAACACGCTCCCGGCCTACCCTCCAGCCTCGGTTTGCCTGCCTCCCTGGGGAGGGCTGTTTTCCACCGCCCTACTAACATCAACACCACGAATCCTAGGCCAATTGTCGCCCTGCCAGGAAGCAGATTCTCAGCATCCTGACTCCATCTGCCCACTCACCTTGGCTCACCTGGACCTGGGAGGGCTGTTTCCTGCTACCAGGAAGCCCACAGACTTCACCATCCAGTGGGTGGCACCATGCCTTCTCCAACCTAGTCCAAACCCCAGCCTCGGGGAAGGCCTCCCCCTTCCAAGTTTGTCCTTTCTTGGGCACTTTCCCTCCACCCTGGAGGACCCTTAGAGTTCCCTTCACATCTTCATGGATACTCACCTATCATCATTTCATACTTCTTTAGATTAAAACAATCCCTGTTCAAATTGCTGTGTGGTTTCTGTCTCCTGATTGGATGCAGACAGATACAAGTAGGTACTATTATTTCCATTTTAAAGATGAGCGAATGAGATTTAAAGAGGCCAAATGGCTTAGTGAGAATCAGATGGGAAATGTGGCAGAGCTGGACACAAACCCCAGGATGGTCTGGCTCTGAAGCCTTTGATTTGCACCTCTCTGTACATAAACCAGGAGTTAGTGGACAGATACCACATAAGAAAGAGGGGTGATCCAGCCTTCTCCCTCCCCTCTTTTCCTATGCTTATGTGTCCTGGGTGTTTCAGATGAAAATAAGGGCAAAAAATGCAAAAATGGGCCGGCGCAGTGGCTCATGCCTGTAATCCCAACACTTTGGGAGGCTGAGGTAGGTGGATCACTTGAGGTCAGGAGTTCAAGACCAGCCTAGCCAACATGGCGAAACCCCATCTCTACTAAAAAATACAAAAATTAGCTGGGTGTGGTAGAGGGTGCTGGTAATCCCAACTACTCGGGAGGCTGAGGCAGGAGAATCACTTGAACCTGGGAGGCAGAGGTTGCAGTGAGCTGAGATCGCACCACTACACTCCAGCTAGGCAACAGAGTGAGACTTCGTCTCCAAAAAAAAAAAAAAAAAAGAAAAAGAAAAAGAAAAAAATACAAAAATGAGGCCAGCTCCTAGAGGAAGATTTTCAACGATCAAGAATGTCAATAGTCATCTCAAGATAATTGCCAAAATAAACACAGAAAAGAAGGGGAGAAAAAAAATGCCCCATGTATTTAAAAAACCACTTTTATACACTTTACATATGGTCAATACTCTGCTCCAAATACATTTGTTTTGAGGCTATTCAATTTTTGCCAATTTCCCCAGCTTTGTCTTATCTGCTAAAATGCCTCATCCTGCTATGGAGAGAGGTGAAATCCCAGCTTTGGGTGTTGCCTGTATTTGCATCTGGCTCAAAGCAGCCAGATTTCTGGATGATGTATGTCCCAGCTCTAAGGGGCTCCGGTCCCCACTGGGGGTGTGCTCAGAGGCAGCATGTAACAGCTTCCATATTCCTGGAAATGAAGCCCCAACTTCCTTGTAGTTTATCCTTTAGGGAAATCAGCAATGTGAATCCTAATTAGCCTCAAAATAACAAACCCCAGTAATTAATGATCTTCCTTGGGGGATCATTGTTCTGGACTTTCAGCTTCAGTAGGGAGGGGAAAAAAAAGGTCCAATAGGAGGATTCACCATTTCCTGCTGATTAGAGCTGGTGAGCTCTGGACTCAGAGTTAGGATACCTGGATTTGAGTCCTGGCTTTGCCACTAATTACACGGTCCTTTGTCTCTCTGTAAACAAAAAAGATTGGCATCTAAGCTCCTTTCTAGTTTTGTGGTCCTTCAGCCTCAGAATCCTTTCAACTCTATTTAGCCATGCCAAGTTAAATAACAGCACCTTCACTGAGTGCTCACAATGTGCCAGGCAAATTGCTAAACACCTTAAATACATTATCTAATTTAAGCCTCACTGCAAACTTATGAGGTGAGCACTATTATTATTATTTTTTTATTTTATTTTTTGAGATGGATTCTCACTGTCACCAGGCTGGAGTGCAGTGGTGCGATCTCGGCTCACTGCAACCTCTGTCTCCCAGGTTCAAGCGATTCTCCTGCCTCAGCCTCCCGAGTAGCTGGGACTACAGGCATGATCCACCATGCCCAGCTAATTTTTGTATGTTTAGTAGGGACGGGGTTTCACTATGTTGGCCAGGGTTGTCTTGATCTCTTGACGTCATGATCCGCCCGCCTTGGCCTCCCAAAGTGCTGGGATTACAGGCGTGAGCCACCGTGCCCAGCCTATTATTATCCCCATTTTACAGGTTCAGAGAGATTAGAGCATGATGATAAGAAAGCCACACCATGTGTCCTCTCCCCAGATGGGTTACTGACCTTACAAATATGCTCCAAATGGGGTCCAGTAGGAGAAATGCAGGTAGATCCCTGATTGACATTGTTCAAGTCAGCATCACCCTCATTAGCGGCAAATGAGGATAAGCAGTAATAAGTAGTCAGGCAGGTGCTTGGAGCCAAAGGCAGGAGGGAAAAGGACATTAATTAGCAAAGCCAGGCACTTTATGCAGGTGGTCTCATTTAATCCTTAGAGCAATGCTATACATTGGGATTATTCCCATTATACAGATAAAGAAAATGAGGTTCAGAGAGGTTAAGTGACTTGTTCACTTACACTTCCCACCACCGGTCAGCAGCCAACCTGAGATTGCAGTGTATTTTGTTTGACCTCTTTCATCACACTGCATTGGGACAATCCATTGTTTGCGGCCAGGGATTTCAGGGTCTGAGCAACCATACATACATTTATTGAGGCCAAGACCATGTCAACTGACAGTGAAATAACTGTTCAATTCAGACAAAGGGAAGGTGGGGAAAGGTCTTTAAAAAGTTAGTCCTTTTCTTTGAGATTGGCTAAGCTGAGATCCCCTGGGTCTACGCCCAGCCTCTGCCCCAGCCCCTCCAGGACAAGTGCTGTCCTGCCTCTGAGAGAAGAAACCAAGGACCTGCTAATCATCTCCATGGGAACTGACCCAGGGGTTGGACCTCAAGGAGGCTTCAGAATAGGCCAGTTGGAGGAAGAACAGGAACAGGCTGTGAGGCAGAAACAAGGAACAAACCTAGCCATCCTCAAAGAACAAGAAAAAGTCACATTTTTTTTCTATTTCTCTTTTGACCCTATCTTTGAAGACTACATGCTTAAGAAGAACCACTCCGCTGGACCTTCCAGACACAAGGAATAATTGAGCACATAGAGACACGTTGCTCAGGTGCTCTTGGGATATAACTTCTCAGCCACCATCCAAAGAGTAGCCTACCATGGTATACAGGTAAACTGGTTCTCTGGAAAACAAAGCAACAAAGGCAGTCCTGCTTTGTAGCACTTGCCAATTCCCATGGTGTAAAGACTTTCAGTTCAAGCTACTAACACTTTAACATTTGGCTTGCAAAATACCTAAATATTTAACAACTGCCTTCAGCTAAACAAGAAGTGACATCTTGGTTAGAAAACATGTCTTATGGGCCAGGCACGGTGGCTCATGCCTGTAATCCCAGCACTTTGGAGGCCGAGGTGGGTGGGAGCCAGTTGTTAAAGAGTTAGCAGCTCAGCTGCTACTAGCAAACCAGTGGAAACCAGTTCCATGTACCCTGGGTAGCCAGCTTTGAGGGTACACCATTCTGAGCAAGCAAGAGTCTCTTGTGGACAATGGCCCAGTATTCTCCTTCCCCACTGTGACTCCAGGTATGCCAAGATATTCCCTGTCCTTTTAATTCCTGCACATCCTTTTACCTGGAAGCTTCTTCCCTTTCTCTTCCTTCTGAAAAACTCCTATACATCCTTCAAGAACCAGGCTGAAAATAACTCTGTTAAACCTTCCCCCTGTTAAAGCTCATTGTTGATCCTTTGCCCATGCCTGTATTACCTGTTTAAGTGTCCGATTCTTCTATTAGACTGTGAGACTCTTGGTCATATAGTTTGGATCTGTGTCCCTACCCAAATCTCATGTTGAAATGTAACCCCCAATGCTGGAGGTTGCCTGGATCATGGAGGTTGGAAGTGATTGGATCATGGAGGCAGATTCTCATGAATTAACGCCATCCCCTCTTGGTGCTCTTGTCACGATAGTGAGTTCTCATGAGGTCTGAATGTTTAAAAGTGTGTGGCATCGCCCCACCACTTCTCCCCACGTGTGAGACGCACTTGCTCCTGCTTTGCCTTCAGCCATGAGTAAAACCTCCGTGAGGCCTCGCCAGAAGCAGAAGTCACTAGGCTTCCTGTACAGCCTGTGGAACCATTAGCCAATTAAACCTCTTTCTTATAAATTAACCAGTCTTAGATACTTCTTTATAGGAGTGCAAGAAGGGACTAATATACTTGGGGAGAAGGCAGTGCATGATTTATCTCTGAATGAGGGGCCAGAAACACAGGAGGCTCACAATCAATGTCTGCTAAATGAATGACGTTATAAACTTATCTCTGATTTTAAGAAATGAAGGACATCATTCCTTCACCTAGTTTAAATGTCCATGTTTCCAGAAAGTCTATAGAAGCAATTCCAATGGTGGTAGTTGGGCAACAGCAGCTAATAGGGTACGTCTCTTCTCCAATTATGGGCAAGAACTGACTACAGCAGTGGACAGGGCTCCTCCTGGCCTATCTCAGCTCTGAAGGGATGTCCTAGGAAGACTCAGACCACTATGGCTGGCGTTAACCTTTTTGGCAATCAAAGTAAGGAATGGGAGAGTTTAAGGCCAGAACTTGGTTGTTCTCCTAAGTTCCCCCCAAATCTATAAGCCCTCCAAAGGGATGCACTGCAGCCAGGGAGGGCACCCCCAGATGTACCCTCGGGACCCGCCATGAGAATCCACGCATAAGAGGGAAGGGTCAGACCAACTGCCTCAAACTGAGAATTTCCAACCTGTGAGAGAGAAGTGGAGGGAAGGGATGAAAAGTGGGAGAAACGATGGAGAACAAGAATGACTAGAGACAGTAGTAATGTTCTTTATGTAAACAGGTGATAATAGCAATGACAAAATTAAGAAAATAAAAACACTGCCATGAAGATTTATAGACTAGCTAACACAGAGCTAAATCGGCAATAACTTGGGCTGATAAAAGGCAACGGGGCATCAGCCACGTAAACAGCTCGTCACTTCAATGCTTCCGTGTATATTATGATGACACTGGTTTGTTGATACCACACCGCCCCCATGACCCCAGGCACCAGCAGTGGGGCCTGACTCACTGTGGGGAGGTTGTGCAGGGTTGACACTGAAGAGTAGCTTTTTCGGAAAGACAAGTTATCCTTGACTGGATGCAGATGGCTCGGTGAAAAATGAAATCTGCCAGCAGACACTGCCTTTATCAGCTGTAGAAGTTCAGCAGGGACGAGACTTCCCCATCCCTGGCCCGCCTGAACAAGCCTCTGGTTTCAGCACCATATCACAGGCTGTCCTAATGAATTCTTCTGCGGGGTTGGAGCCTTCACATATCTGCTTCTAGGAGTGCATCCTGGCGTCTACAGCATGGTACGGAACTCGCCTGGTGTTTGCATTCCGCCTCATGGAGTTGTCAAGGAATGCTTGCAGCAGGAAAGGGAGTGCCAGCCTTACCAGGGCATTGGTATGCCCTGCCTCAACTGGGCCATCTTGCCAGTATCCTGGGCCACCCTCATTGACTTCCAGGTGAGGGGTGCCCAGGAAAAACCAAGAGGCTCCCCAGGACATGTCAAGCCAGACAACCATTAGTGTCTACAGTGTGGAAGACAGTAATAAGCACCACTGTTAATTAACTTTCTCTTATGAGCTGACCCCCATGCCAGGCACTGTGTCTCATGTAACACGCATCTGTCCCATGAGGTTACTGTTATAGCCTCGCCTCATAGATGGGCAAACTGAGGGCTACATGGACCTGTCCAGAATCAGGGGGCTGGGAAGTGGCAGATCCAGGGAATAAAATGGAGCTTCATATATCTACAGAGCCTGTAACCTTCAAAGGACAAATAAGAATGAAAATGGGCAAAATAAGACTAAATATCTGGAGATTTGGCACCCTACAGTCAGATAAATGAGCAGATGCTTCGGTTTCACTCGTGATGCAGTTGCATCATTGAGAAGGCCGCAGTCTGACAGATGAATCTACCATGTGGATGTTTTTTAAACACACTATAAATTCATTTCGGAACACAGCACCTGAATGTTTGAATTAGTGCTGCTTGTGGTTATTTGTGTCACTGTTCTGCTCCTTTGAAACCAGAACTTAGGAGGCAAGGTGTCTCCAAGGCCCCAAATCGCCCTGTGAACTGAGCCCGATTCCTTGATACTGTCCCTCCTGCCGACACACTCAGGTGAGAAAGGTGTACTTGTCCCAAGTGCTTTCCATGCCTTCTTCTTCTCCTCTTATCTGGGAAGTTGAAACTGGCAGGAGGCATTCTGATGGGTTCAGAGAAGACCTTTATACAAAGGATGCACAGAACAATTGAGGCATGGGCCTGACCTCCAATGAGGGTGGGTCCCAGCCAGTCCCCTAACAGCACCTTCCTCTCTGGGGTGAGACAGATGGGCAAGTGTCCCTTCCACTTCCTGACTTGTGCAGGTCAAAGGAGAACAGAGACAACTGTGTGACGAGGGAGTTTGGCAGTGACTGACCCCGGCTCCTGCCTGCTCCGCCCAGCGGTGCCCAGCTCTCCTCTCTGCAGTGAGGCAGGGCCAAGGCTCCCTGGCAGGAGTGGCGCAGGGCCAGTGCAGGCCGGGGCCCAGCATCAGGCTCTGCCTCAGTCCTTTCTGAATGGCTGCACCTGCTCCACGCACAGCCAGAGGCCTGACTGCCCTGAGCAGTGCCTGCCAGCAAGACCGAGGGTAGGCGGGCTAAGCACCTGTGGCCTCTCCTTTCATCTTTAGGACAACCTGGGAGGTGAAGAGTGGTGCTGTCTGAGTTGAAGCTCCAAGGCACAGAAGGCGTTGCCGGGCTCACGGCAGTGAGTGGCAGAGGGTGTGCTGGTAGCCACTGCACCTCAGCACTGGAATGTTCCTGTCTCTTTGGGGGTGGGGGCCATGCCACCCCATTGCCTCTTCCCACAATCCTTACCCTTTGCTCTGGTCCCTTTCTAGGCTGTCCTTGGTGAGCAGAGGTGAGCAGAGACTGGCCAGGGGCTGGAGCAATAGGCAGAACTGTTGTGGCATCTTGCCACTAGCGGTTGAATGCTACTAACACTGGTGGGGTTGTGGGGAGGGGTGTCCTTCAAAGTTCTCCTCAGTGGTGTTCCCTGGGGCCTGGGAACCCTTGCCTAGAAACAGTGGTGGTTTGTCTCCATGAGGCAGCATCAGGAACATCTCTCTCATCAGGCAGCATCGGGAACATTCACTGGATGGGCACTTTGTGTTGCCCACCGAGTGAATTCAAAGGCAGCTCTCTCAGGAGGGAGAGGTAAATGCTGTCTCCCCCAGCCTGGTTATGGGTGAAGGCAGAAGCTGTCCCACCCAGCTCCTCTCGCCTTCTTCCTCCACAACGAGCTCTCCATGAGCCAGAGCAGGGAGCACTCCTTCCCAGGACGCTGCTAGGGGAGAGGTTTGCCAGGGCAGGGCTGGAATGCGGGCAAAGATAGAGGCCACCGACAGGGATCGTTATACTTTTAGAAGTCAGAAAAATTGGGACAGGCGGTGTCTCTAGGACAGGCTCCCTGGCCTTTTTCATTTGGATGGTAAGAACTCATCTTTTAAAAGTGGAGGCTGCCTGCTGAGAAGTGGGACAATCCCATCCATGGGGTCACGTCCGCAAGAGTCCCCCGCACCCCTCCATCCCTGGAAACCAACAGCTTCCTCCTCAGCCCGCTCCCTCTGACGTAGAACTCCTTGGGAAAGCAGGATACTGCTTTTAAAGAGTAATCATTGACCTTGAACTCTTAAGATGTGTTTCTCAATTTTCCCCTTTTATCACTATCCGGCTAACATTATGCTGTGTCGTTTCTTGAGTTCCGGTATTTAATACAAAATGTTGAATGAAAACATATTTTGTAAACAGGCTCTACAACTGGGTATGGGAGAAGGGAACATTGTGTCAATCCTGCCCGTCCTTTCTCTAGGCACTTGAAAAACATCCCTGGTATCCCAGCAAGCAGGCAAGATATCACTGTTGCATTCTCTCAACATTCCTGCTCCTCTGGTGCATAAGGCCAACGTGCCTGGGACAAATGTGGTACAGTGTAGGAGTGAAGAATATGGGCTGTGACTCAGTCAGATTAAAATCTCAACTCTGCCACATGCATGAACTGCATGACCCTGTGGGAGGTACTTTTGGAGTCTTGGTTTCTTCATCTGTAAAATGGGAACCACTATCAAAAGGAGGTGAGTGGAGAGACTGCATGTAAATGGAGAATGCATGTAAAATGGCACTGAGATGCACACAAAGGATCAATACATGGTGTGCATTGATCCGATTTGCCGTTCATCACTTGAGCATCTCCTAATTGTGAAAGTCCTGGGGTGTGCGTTCACAGGCTGGTGCAGGTTCATGCTAGGGGCAGGCCCTGTGAGACAGAAGCCCCCTCTTCCTGCAGACCTCCCTGACATCCGCACTCCATTCCTCATCCGTCTCATCTTTCTTCCCAGACTGGTCTTCCTCACTCCACGCCTCCTTCTTTCTCCTGGAGCCCAACTGCCTCCTCCATGGCCCTCCAAGTCCCCACTGCATCAGGCAATCCTTCATGGCCAAGTGTCAGCATCACCAATGCTTCTGGGACGACAGGAGAGGGGAAAGCCACTGGTCTCAACCAACCTCTCCCCTCTGCATTTATCTCAGCCCATCCCCCAGACCATCCTTCAATCCTCCCCTACTCCATAAAAATATTGCACCAACTCCGCAGCTCACATTTGCTCATTTGGTCTGCTTGACTTGCTTACCGCTGCGGTCTCCCTGTCTGAGGCCTCTACTCGAATTGGGATAATTTTGTCTGTGCTTAAAGGCACTGACCTTCCAGATCCCCGGACTTCAGGAATTTGTCCTCATCCCCTCATCAGTCTCTGAAGCACAACCTTATTCAGGGATCTGGTCTTGATCGTCCTAACTGTACAGGGCTGGCCAGTGGGTTTCCAGACCTCTAAATTACTATACCCTTCCTATGCTGTCTGGCTCTCTCTTTCCTTCTCAAGGCCAGCCTGAGAGCTAACAGAATCAGGATTTTGCTTGAAACATGGAGGAAAGCCCAGAGCCCTCCATGGAATCAGCTACTTTCTCAGCATAACATCAACCGACAATAGAAATCAGACCAGGTGTGATCATCATCATGAACATTTATATTTATTTATCAGTTTTGCAAGATCCTATCAAATAAATAATTTCACATATTTCATCCACTCGATAATTAAAATAGTCAGTAGAAGAAAAGACCTGAATGAAGAGCCCAGACCTTTATATTTTCATAGGGATTTGTTTCCCTTTTTGTGGTTCTCATGCACTTACCTATGAGAAATTCCTACAAGCCACTCTTCCTGTTTCAAGACTTTGAAGAACAATGCCTCCTGCGAGTCAGTTAATTCAGAATGGTGGGTTCAAGACAGCCCAGACAGCAATTCTTAGGCCAGCCAAGATGCACCCCATCACCCCTCTCATCTGGTAACAGTCCATCTACGGCAAGCAACTTCCCTCTTCTATGCCAGGGTCTCTCAACCAGGGGACTATTGACATTTTGGGCCAGAGCTTTCTTTGGGAAGGGGGAGGAAAGTGCTGTCCTGTGCACTGTAGGTTGTTTAGCAGCATCTCTGGCCTGTATCCCGCAGATACCAGGAGCACCCCACCCCTGCCCTGGTCATGATGATCCAAAATGTCTCCAGAATTGCCAAATATCCCCTGGGGGAGCAAAATCAACCACCCGACCACCACCCACCCACACACACACCCAAACTTCTTCCTGGCACATCCGTTAGTCCAAGATCAGTGTTGCAAACACCCTTCAGGGAGGACAGGGCTCCAAGGACCATCACCTTTGCTCTTTGTTACCCAATAGAGCCAAGAAAGTAGTTCCTAGCAGCAGCAAGACATGGGAAAACGCTGCCTGCCAGTGAGGCTTGGGGCTCGCAAGGAATACATCCTCACCAAGGCCATAAGACTTCAATTTGTGGATGCTGGAAAACAGGGCATCAGGGAGGCAGGGGTCCACTGCTGAGATGTGTGACTGAGTGAGGTGCAAGGACTGGAGAGGCAGGTATGGACCCTCACCACACTTGATCTTACCTGTGGAAGTCTCCCCAACTTGTGGAAGTCACCAACATAGGATCTGCCAACTGTGTTTGAAAACAACCCCCTCATGGATTGATTCCCCTGGGCTAGTGCACACAGTTCCTCTGACTGCATTCAGCATGCGTTTCTTGACCCACAGTGGACCTTCACAGCAGGGCCCTGGGCCATCTTCGCTGGCTCCTCTCAAGGACTAGAAGGGCCCAGCACCATCCCAGGATAGTCAAGTGCAAATCTCATCAGTCACCCTTCAAGTATTTAACAAGCCCACCCTGTAGATCCTCGCTACACACAGTGTCATCCACAGGCCGGCACAGGGGGAATCCCCTGGGAACTTGTCAGAAAAGAGGACTCTCAACGCCCTGCCCCAGAAGTTCTGAATCTAAGCCTGAACTTTAGCAAATTCCCCAGCTGCTGTCCATGGACATGAAAGTTGAGAAGCCCTAATGGAAGTAATGCAGGAAAGGGAGAAGAGGATCTCCTTCCCTCTAGAAGCTCACACTCCAGCAGAGAAGATGGGATATATAAAAATGAAGGTCAGTACGGTGGCTCATGCCTGTAATCCCAGCACTTTGGGAGGCCAAGGTGGGCGGATCACGGGGTCAGGAGTTCAAGACCAGCCTGACCAACATGGTGAAATCCCCATCTCTACTAAAAATACAAAAATTAGCCAGGCATGGTGGTGCACGCCAGTAATCCCAGCTACTTGGGAAGCTGAGGCAGGAAAATCGCTTGAACCCAGGAGTTGGAGGTTGCAGTGATCCAAGATCGCGCCACTGCACTCCAGCCTGGGCAACAGAGCGAGACTCCGTCTCAAAAAAAAAAATACACACACACGCACACACACAAATTAGCTGGGCATGATGCCATGAGCCTGTAATCCCAACTACTCGGGAGGCTGAGGCAGGAGAATCGCTTGAACCCAGCAGGCAGAGGTTGCAGTGAGCCGAGGTCACACCACTATACTCCAGCCAAAAAGAAAAAAAGGATATATAAAAATGAGGCAAGGGAGCAGAGTGCAAGTCTACACCACCAAGCATGTTTTGGGAGGACGACACCTGGATGCTGAAGACCAAGACTAAGAGCTGCCTTAGCCACTTACTTCTACTGAGCCTCAATTTCCTCATCTGTAAAGTGGGAATAACACTTGCCCTGTCTACCTTACAGGATTGTCCTAAAGATCAAAAAGGATGGGAAAGCACTATTCTGATCTAAAGTACTATTTAATGTTAAAGGTACTCTAAATGCTACAGAGGTTCAGAGAAGAGAGGGCTCCGGGTGACTGGAAGAGTCTGGGAAGATCCAGCAGAGGGAGTTGGGGAGCTGGGAGTACTGAGTCATATGCTAAACCAGGTGCTGCAGTAAATAAAGCAAGATGGAAAAGTGCACATGCTGACCACTGCACCCAACACCGCCTCAAGCCTGGGCCACAGGGAGCTCCCACTGACCTACTTTCACCCACTAACTCCTCACAGTCTATGGAAGAGTAACACAGTGGGTCTCAGAAACACATACAGTGTTCACAAGTGCTTTACAGAAGACACAGAGCAAGCAGAGATGGTCTCTGTGGCAAGGCTGGCAAGAAGCTCAATTGCTGCAAAAGTTATTAACTCTGGGTTGGGGTAGAGGGCAATGGACTTTTTACCATTTTTCAGAGCTGACCTGTGAGGATGGCTAGATACTGCAAGAGGATGCCTGGAGGAGGGAGAGGTAAAAGAAATGAGCCAGTAATTTCTTGGGTAATAGTTTTCCTAGATAATGTTTATGAGCATTTGCTATGTACTTGATGTTTTCATACTTAAAAAAAATTAAACCTCACTATGATCCTATCAGGCAGGGACTTTTGTCCCCACTTCACAGATAAAGAAACTGGAGATTTAGAATTTGAAGCCAGGTTGGTCTGCTTTCCATAGCCCATGATCTTAACTGCAAGCTAAACTTACAGGGTCGTCTGAGAATCTCTGTTCTTCCCTGTGCAGTTGAAACAATCAATGTGGCTGTACTTTTGTTGTAAGACCTGGCTCTTTCCGACTCGCTGACGTTTGCCATGCTTGTCCTGAGCTTCTCCAGAGAAATGCTGTCTTCTGGCAGGAAAAGATAAAAACGGCTGATATAAATGAGTCACCACACTCGCTATAATTAACAGTGATGCAAGAGCCAGATGCAAAATAAGAGGGGCCTCTGGACCTGACTTTTAGGCTGCCCAAACTTTGAGCTGCACTTCAATGTAAAACAGTCTCCATAGCTAGGCTTCCATCTGTTTGAGACGCATTTTAAATGAAGAAATAAAACCCGGAATGCATGCAAGCCCCAAGATAATGGAGCTGAGAGGGGCTGCACCAAATTAATCTCCTTATTTACAATTCAAAAACCATACACCAGAACAGAAAGAGAGTTTATAGTTTATAGATAATATAGATCTTTGCTTTCACACTCAGTTGCCCTGGAAAGGCTGAGCAGTTTTCAATCTGCTGAGCTGATTTATAGCAAGTACAGCTGTAAATTCAATTGTACTAGGTGTTCAGCCTATGCCCTCCCAGTGATGTATCTGAACTTTTCAAAAGGACTAGTTGTCATTAACATCTCTCTATTTTCTTTTGCTGATCTGGGATGATGGGATGCAATGACAATCTGCTTAAAATAAACCTTAAAACCTTAAAACATAATCACCACATCATCCACAAACCCCATTCAACCACAGCATGAGCACAATCACTCTGTAACACAAGGTGAAGATATTCTCTGTTGCTTCTAGGACATATAAGTCCCTCCTGAAGTTTGACAGAGAGAAATAAATTGTGGTCAGGACCTGGATAGGCTCACTAGTAGCCGTCGATGTCGGTGGCGTCTTCTCTTACCTGTTTAAAAGAGGCTCAGTGGCCTTGAGATTTGAACACAATACAGCTGATGGAATCTTGCCACTTTCCTTTTGAATAGACTTTAATTGAGAGCAAAGTGAAAAATGCAGGTTACAATTTTAAGTGTTATCATCAATATCTTGTAAGATCAACACCCAGTGATGCATCTAGTACTTATACAGTCCTAATTTTAGTTGTCAAAGAGCAAATCATTATCAGACATATATTTACACAGTAATTTCAAGCAACGGTAAATAATAAATTCCCTCCCTTAAAAAACAAAACACAACACAACACACACACACACACACACACACACACACACACGACCATCTTTAAACAATGGATTTCCTCACCCAGTAAGTCTCATTTTTTTCACATATACTTGTAGACCCAAAGGTCCTTAAGTTACTTAAAAACAGTCTTATCAGTGGAGATCCTGGACCATCCCCTATTTTCTTTTAAAGTCACTTTCATTTTTACAACTTGAAGCCATATACCAGCATGGTTTTTATACACTAAGGACACTCCCAGTGATGAAAATGAATTCCCCTCCATTTGTGCAAGGAGGTATGTACATCTATAAAGACACATATGATTACCACTCAAAAGAGTCAAAAACATACACAAAAAAATCTCAGATCTTCATAGTTTCTTAAGAGCAGTGTGCCAGTGTTCACATTGAATTAACTGAATGGTAAAATTCTTTTAGATTTCTATACAGAGGTACTGGTTAGTTCTGATTTTTTCTTCAGCTGCTTGAAATGCATGAGCTTTAAAAGTTGCCTGGCAGAACTACATCCTGCTTTCCAGGTTAGCAGCCTGGCTGACCTCGGGAATGTTAGACAAGATTCACCCCCGATGCCTTGCTCTCTGATTTATTTCTTGCTGTTGCTGTTAGTAAATGGAAACCATGACAAAGTTTACATTAGCAGACACATACACATGCCCTGGCCTATAAATATTCCATGATAGAAAATGGTACAATAATTCCATCCCCAGCGAAAACGAGCATAAAAAAAGAAGGGAAGGGTCAGGGGGACATGATCAGCTATGGCTCTTCTTACAGTAGAAAATCCACACCAAATGGCAATGGGCTTTTAACTAACCAGACATTGTTAGCTGCTTCTCCAGGGCCTGTGAGTCAACTAAAAGTAGGCAGGGCAGAGACCAACTCTTCCAGGCACACCTGGTAGTTTCCAGAAGCACCGGTATCTTGTCTTGGAAGTTGGATGAAGAAGATCAACTGAAGTTTCCTTTTTAGTGAGGAGGAGTGGAGAGTCAGACTTGAAAGCAGTTCACACACTGTGCTGCCTGGGACACTGAACGGTCCCCGAGGGAGACCCCTCAAAGCGCCAGCTGGAGTTTGGTCATGTTTCTCTGATGCATGTTGTGATGGCGGACTAATTCATCTGACCGGGCAAACTTTTTCTGACAACTTGGCCACCGACAGCTGAAGGGCTTTTCACCTGTTGACACAATTGCCAGTCAGAGACACTTGCAACAAAGAGACAGGCACAAGTTCAACTATCAAGGCCCGAGTGAAGTCATCACAAGGCACCCACTCTGAATTTCCCATCATTCTGTCCCTGAGCTAACCAACTGAGCTCATTTCCCAGGCAGCCTTGAAACAGCAGCACCTCTTGGGGCTTTAAGGATCGAAATATTGTAAAAAGTTATATTCTTAGGTCAGAAAACTTGGAAAGTGGGAGATAAAGAATGAGTCAAGTTGGGGGAAATGTCTGAGCAATTCATAATTAAGGGGAAAAACGTTTGTTTCAGTCTCTGCTGATAGAATGTTTTGTGAACTGTGTAAATTTCTCCCCCTTGTTGAGTAAGTTGGGAACTGAGATGAACTGGGCTGCAGAAGCCTCTGGGTCATCTACCCTGGGTATTACTGAGTGATCACTGTCCAGGGATCTCAGCTGTGACTGAAGCTTTTAACACTTCTATCTGTGTAGATACCCTGGATGGGCTGGATACTTTAAAATAAATCACTGATACCAGTTTACATGTTATGTGTTGTTTTTTTTTTTCTCTTAAAGTGTTACTGAGAGCATAATCCTGTTATATGGAAGATTCTAGTTGGGGCGTGGTTCTTAGATTTTTAATAAGCTTGCCAAAAGATTGAGGCTTCTCCACCCAAAGAGCCCTCAGACATTCTTTCCAAGCCTCATTCTCATTAGGGAGAATAACTACCATTTATTTGATGCTTAACATATGCCAAGCCTTGTGCTGGGCTTCACACACGCACACACACAACCTCATGTACTCCTTACAACTGCCCGTAGGGGAAGCGTTATTATCCCCACTCTACAGATGAGGTAGGACATCTATTGAGGGCAGATCCAGGCAGAACTCAAATCTCCAGGTCTGTCGAATTCCAGAGCCCGTGCTCTTCCCTGTATCACACCTCCCAGGCCTAGCCATGATGGAAAAGCAGCTGCAGCTCCATCTTAAGGAAGAATGCACAGAAGCTAAACCCTGTGCCACCTGACGGATCTTCTCAGATACTGCTGGTCCCACTTGGCCTTCTCTGAGAACTACTGGTTTGGACAAGCACTGAGAAATGTCCCAGGAGGGCTGGTGTCCCAGGGTCAGACTGGAGGCCAATCAAATGTGGTATTAAACAGTCTGCTGGCAAAACAGGTCATGTCACACTTACTTGGGGAGTGTGACAGCCGTGTCAAAGGGACTATAACACTTTGCCACCGAATTATGAGCTCAGGACTAAGTTAAAGAAGCATCAAAGGCACCTGAGGAAGGGAAGCAAGATCCCATCCTGCCAACCATGGGCCACAGGTGCCTTGGCTCTGTTTTTAAATGCAGCCAATTTGGGCGAAGAATCTGGGGCTGCTCAGGGGTTTGTGATGTCATGTTTTCCTTCACTCGCTGTTCCTCTGCTCTTCCTGGCCTGGCTCTCACTCTCCAACCCCACCTCCAGCAGTGCTGTTAAGGGCTGGCTCCTAATGGACTAATCCCAACCCTGTCTCTTGTCATCTTCATTCCTCTCAGTCTCTCAGTGGTGTTCAGCTTTGCTGACTTTGATTCTCTACTTGACTCTCCATGCTCCCTGGACTGCAGAGTAAATATCTGCCCCTTCTCCAATAAAGAAGCAAGTGGGACAAGGTGGGCTGGAAGCAGACAGAACTGGATTTGCTCCTTACTAGCTTTGTGACTTTAGATAAGCCATTGAATTATTATTGCCTCAGTCTCCTCATCTGTAAGATGGGAATAAAACATGCCTACCTCATTTTTTTTTGTTTGTTTTGTTTTGTTTTGTTTTGAGACAGGGTCTTGCTCTGTTGCTTGGGTTGGAGTACAGTGGTGGGATCACAGCTCACTGCAGCCTCAGCCTCCCAAGCAAGGTCTAGTGAGCGTCCTACCTCAGCCTCCCCCAAATAGCTGGGACTATAGGTCCACACCACCATGCCCAGCTAGTTTTTGTATTTTTTGTAGAGACAGGGTTTTGCCATGTTGCCCAGGCTAGTCTTGAACTCCTGGGCTCAAGTGATCCACCCACCTCATCCCAAATAGCTGGGATTACAGGCATGAGCCACCACAGCCGGTCCTACCTTACTCTACTTACAAGCATGTTGTGAAGATAGACTTAGATAAGCTAAATATTAACGCTCTTTCCAAAGGTAGAAAATATGCAACAAAGGTGGTGCTATTTTTATTATGAATCACACCAGCCTTGCAGAAAGCAAAAACCTTCAGCAGCCAGTAAATGAATGCCCTATTCTCCTCTCTGTACTAGTATGAAGGAAATAATATCCACACACTGATACTGGTCCAGCAGAAACCAAGACCGCTCCTGGTGCATTAACTTTTAACAGAGCAAGGACTCAGTTCTCTGAAAATAGTGCCATTAAACATGTGCTCTCAGAAGAATAAATATTTGGCTTGCTAGAATTTCTGCTGCTTTTCTGTAAAGTTGATTATCGTATCAAAGAGAGTAACAAAATGTGTGATGCAACAAACTGGAAACAGTAGGGACCTGGCTTATCTCTTCATTTTCATTCTGCACACTCCAGCCATTCTTTTCCCATCTTTCTCCTTCTCTGTATTTCCACCCTCCCCTTCTTTAAAAAATGTTATTATTTATTATTTAAAGATAGCCACGCACTATTCCTTCTCTCAACTGAGTCTAAACCTTAGAACTTTTACACTAGTCTTTTCCAATCCCTCTCATCACAATTTCATTCCACAATAGTTTAAAAAAATAATGAAAAATAAATGTGAAGAAAAGTTTACGCACTTGTTTTACCTGTATGAGTCCTGGTGTGGGTCTTCAGGTGGTCGGACCGGGAGAACTTTCGCTGACAAGTTTTACACTGGAATGGTTTCACACCTAAATGGACAGAGAAGGTCTAGCCTCGGCCCTAACAATGTGGGCACAGTGAGGCCCACAAGGCTGACTTCCGGCAGCTGGAGGAGCCCAGCATTTCCTGCCATGCCTGCAATGTCTGCATCTGCCTCACCCTTAGATTTCCCCAGTCCCCCAGGCCCAACAAGAATCACTGATTCTGCACAGTAATCTTCAAGGACCTGCTTCTGTCTTGGGAACAACCATTCCTTAACCACAGAGGTCCAGCTTCTCACCAGCTGGAAGATCTCAGCTGTGTCAGAGACAGGAAAAGTGAATCACACGCTACAAATTGGATTCCGCTCTCCATCACCCTCATTCTTTGCTGATGCTCAGTGTATCATCAGCCCACTGCTAGTGGGATCTCACTGTTCTGTGGTTTGCAGGGGAAATGTGGGGTGTTTCCTTTTCTTTCTTTTTCTTTATTTAAGAGGAGGAACATCTCCAGAGATTATGGGGGGAAAATACTGGAAAAACTAAACACATGGCTGACTCTCTCATTCATATTCAACAACAAAGAGAATCATGAAATCAACCCTAGCCCAAGGGAACACAGCTGCCAGCAATGAGAAGTGAACCTACAAACCTGTATGTCTCCTTTGGTGTCTTTTGAGCTGGTCTGAACGAGAAAACCTTCGTTCACAGTCCTTGAAGTCACACTGGTATGGTTTCTCACCTTGGGGAAGACACATATTCTATTTGAAAATGATACTGGAAAAGGGGATCTCATTAAAGGCAACCTCTCCTACTAGGACTGAACAGATCCCAAAATGCCTAAGGCACTTCGCTGGAGCTTGTTAGGGTAGGATGATCCCCAACTTGCAAGTTACAAATGAATGGGAGCTCAGGGGCCAGAGGATTCTGCCCCAAGGCTCACATCTAGCTCTGCCATTAAAAAAAAAAAAAAAGCCCTGGGTGAGGTGTGGTTTCTTTATTGTAAAATGGGTCCAATAATCCAACAACTTTAAAGGATTTATGACCTTCACATAAAGGGCTCAGCCCAGAGCCTGGCATAGAAGGCGTGCTCAAAAACTATTAGCAAATAAAAAACAAAATCTTTAACTCCCAGGCAGAATCTGAGGCAGAATTCTGGGATGCATGTGCCTTGAGGTCAACCTCATGAAATAAGAGTTTTATGTTTTAGGGCCCAAAGATCTGGTGTTCTTTGCTACTGACTCCTTGTTCTTGCATCAAGCAAATATGACTCCATGGTTGTGAGACCCTCAAAACACACCAAAAGCACTGAGAAAGTTTTTGGTGTGCTTTATCCAAGAGAAGTCAGTAGTGGGATTACCCAACCTCCTGTCTCAGAATGGAGAAGCCTCACCCCTGTCCTCACTAGAGAAAGTTCAGCCAAATACTGGGACCTGAGCCCCAAGAGAAGTGAGCAACCCCAGGCCTTCCCACCTTCTTAGGAGAATCCTGAGTCACAGGCATCTGGGATGGAAACAAGCCATTCTAGAATCAGTCAGGTCTTTCTGTTGCAAAGGCAGCCCCCTGTTACCTTTCCAATCTCAAAGCCTGGGCTATTTCCCTCATGAATCTCTATTCCCCACTATGCCAGAGCTCACATCCTGAAGTCCTCCTTGCACTCTGCTCACACTAAATGTCCCCCATCCCTATCTCCACATCGAAAAGTCTCCTGGGTGTCTCCTTCTTCTGCAATGCCTGCTTGGAAACTGCATGGGCCAATTTCCCTTCCTTCCCTCATTACGACATTTATTCCAGGCTGTCTAATGTGGTGAGCTGTGTCTGGGTCTACAATTCTACAATTCTTCAATGGGTTGGAAAATCCTAAGGGCTGGAGCCTTTTTATTTTTATTTTTTCTCAGAGACAGAGTCTCTCTCTGTTGCCCAGACTAAAGCGCAGTGGTGTGAGCCTAGCTCACTGCAGCCTCGAAACCGTGGGCACAAGCAATCCTCCTACCTCAGCCTCCTGAGTAGCTGGGACTACAGGCATACACCAGCACACTTGGCTAAATTTTTAAAAATATTTTTTTTAGAGACAGGGTCTCACTATATTGCCCAGGCTGGTCTTGAACCCCTTAAGCAATCCTCCCGCCTACGCCTCCCAACATACTGGGATTACAGGTGTGAGCCACTGCACCTGGCCCCTTTCTTTGTATTTGTATCCAGGTTGGTGCCTTATGTTTCACCTCTGTGAGCTGGAGAAGATGTTACCCCTATTGAGTCTGATTTCCTTCCCCTGCCTTTGAGCTTCTGCTCATCTATCACTTTCTCTGCCCAAACTACCAGCCTCCACTGGCTAACCCAAGCTGTTCTTCCTCTGAGAAACTTTCTCGGATGACCTTAGTTCAAACTGATACCCTCCAAACCCCTCGGTACCTCCTGTCTCTGATTTAGTACATGATCATGTACTCTCTCAGTCACTTTTCATTTCTTTATATCCTAGCTCCCAAACAAACCAGGAACTCTTTGAGAAGGAGGATTATAACCTGCAGTTAAAAAGAAGGAGTTTGAGTCCTCTTTCTGCTATATCCTATACTCTTCATAAATGTTTTGTGAGTGAGGATTAAATGAAATATACATGTAGAGAGCCTGACACCCAAAAAGTACTTAATATAACAGTCTGTACTGTTGTTATAAATAAATAAGAAAATATTGCTCTCTTTCAAGGGGGACTGTAGGATTGTTAAATACCAACCTGCCCTCATCTTCTGCAAGGAAGAGTTTCTTAAAGGCTCCAGTGGGTCTGGGGTTTTGGCTGTCTTGTTCACTGCCTTCCCTTCACACAGTTGTCTAACCCTCACTGCATTCTAAGTGCTTCTCTCTCACTAAAAGTTTCTACAACCATATTGCCTTCATTTATTCCCTTGCATTTTTCAGGCAGGACTTTACTTTCTCGTTTTCCTTATAACCTTGACAGTCACTTTTCAAATGATCCCATTTGGGGAAATGTGTAAAAACATAACATGCCACTGGTCCCCTCCTTTTTAGCCTCAAAGTCTGTGGCCCACTGAGTGCAAACTCAGATTGACACCAGAATTGCATCCTCTGGACACAGTGAATTAGCAAATTTCAATGGTCCAAGGAAATCTGAATGCAGCTCACTTTTTTCTCCAGCTTCCCAAGAGCAAAATCAGCAGTAATAACACAGTTGCAACAGTGATCCTATAATAATGCTGTTCTTCGATTGTGGAAAAGGCAGCAGTAGCTCCTCTGTAGGAAAACCTGGGTTTTACCACACTCCCACACTCCCACCTAGTGCCCACAAGGCCCAGAGTAAACGTTCTGTGACATGGCTGTCCACATTCAAGGTGGCCAACACCAAACAATGCCAGTTCTCTGTTTCCCAGAAGCAGCCTCTCTGACCTGGGGGAAAATCCAGTTTCATTGGCGTATCTTCAAAGATAAAAAATCATCATCTCTCTCTCTCCTTTTTTTTTTTTTTGGCAGAGTCTTGCTCTGTCGCCCAGGCTGGAGTACAGTGGTAAGATCTCAGCTCACTGCAACCTCTGCCTCCTAGGTTCAAGCAATTCTCCTGCCCCAGCCTCCCAAGTACAGGTGCGTGCCACCACACCCGGCTCATTTTTGTATTTTTAGTAGAGACGGGGTTTCACCTTGTTGGCCAGGCTGGTCTCCAACTCCTGACCTTGGGTGATCCACCCACTTCGGCCTCCCAAAGTGCTGGGATTACAGGCGTGAGCCCCCATGACTGACCTTTTTTTTTTAAGTGATCACTAAAAAATCAAACTAACAATCAATTTTCCCCTTCCTGTCTAGTTGATTATTACTGACCCAAGCAGGTAAGTTTTTCTTTGGACCATCTCTTCTAAAATTTCACAATGATCTTGCCCATCGACCTCCTAAAACCATCTGATGACTATATTCCCAGGCCAGCTCCTCTCTCCTTAGAAATGCTAATAGTATTCTAACACCAACACGATTCCTACACAGGTCTCTTTAATTCTGTGGCACTTTCTCTCTACCACTCTGCTCTGCCTTTCTGGAAGACAGTTTACTGACCTCTGTAATAAAGGATAGATAATCAGAATGCAAAATGGCCCCACAGCCTCTTTACAACACCTGGATCAGACCTTTCAAAGCAGTGCTTACTTTCCATCCTGGAAATAACCTGGGTCCTTAGCAGTGTGAGAGCCTGGAAAAGGAGCTCTTGAACCATGTTTGCCCAAGACTGGACAGCGGGCACACTTACCAGTGTGCTTCCTGCTGTGCATCTGTAAGTGGGACAGCTTAAAATATCTCTTATTGCAGCCTGGGTAAGCACACATGAAGGGGCGTTTCTCACTGGTCTCAGATGCCGACCGTACAAGAGTCGGGGCTACTCCAGGCACACGTCGCACATCCTGCAGGCAGAGAGTAAGAGGAAGGGAGGCTTTAAGCCACATGTGAACATTCACGTAGGTCTTGAGGGAGAGTGAGCACTGGAGTATATCCAAAGAAGGGGTGGCAGGTGCAGACCTAAAACCACTCCCATTCACACTCCAGATCCCCATGGCAGACATCAGTAATGGATGCTAGATCAGGACATTCTACAATGCAGTGCTCTAAGATCATCACTACTGAGCAACCAGAAGTGGCTGTTGAGATGAAACCTACATGAAATGGCTGTCCCAGAGCCTCTGCAAAAGAAATGCTGGTACCTGGAAGAGCTCCCAATCCATTCTATCTCTCAGCTTCTCCTCTTGAGGTAGTGATGTCTGCAAGTCCAAAGTCCCAAAGTCTAACTACTCCCTCCCACTTGGAGTCATGACCACATGACCTAGAGCCAGTCTGCAATGGGTGGGGACATCCTTATTAGAAAAAAGTGGGATAATGAATGAGCCCCTAACTGACCAGATCGTCCAAGTATAAGTAAATAACAAGGAAGAAGAAGCCCCTGGATTTGGGGATCCCATCTGTGAAAGGAAGCAAAACCCACCAGAAGGCCATGGTGAAGCCAGCACAACCTTTAATAGTGAGGCCAGAAAGCACTGGAATCCATCTGCCTTCTGTGCTCTGCACACGTCCTTTGCAGGGCATCTGTTGCTCCCCTTTATCTTGTGGAAGTGCAGTGTGTGTGTTGTCAGTCTTCCAAGAATAAGAACTGGAGGAAAACAAAGAGGCAAGCTCCCCTTCCTCTTCTTGGGGTCAGGGAGTCATAAATGGGAGCTGAGCAAGTGCCTGAGTGGCCACTAAATTCTCCTCATTCCTTTATAGATGAGTAAATCAACCCCAAAGGCGGTGAGATGCTGACACAAGAGTGCATCCATGTTTTGGTTTTGTTTGTTCTTAAGACAGGATCTTATTCTGTTGTCCAGGCTGGAGTGCAGTGGCACGATCGGGGCTCCTGCAGCCTCGACCTCACCAGCTTAAGTAATCCTCCCACTTCAGCCTCCTGAACAGCTGGGACAACAGGTGAGAGTCATCATGCCCAGCTAATTTTTTTTTTTTTTTTTGGTAGAGATAGGGTCTCCCTATGTTGCTCAGGCTGGTCTCAAACTCTTGAGCTGAAGGGATCCTTCCACCTTGGCCTCCTAGAGTGCTGGGATTACAGGTGTGAGCCACCATGCCTGGCCTAAAGTGCATCCATGTTTTGTGCTAAGACCTGGAACCACTTCTGAATATAACCAACTCCTTGCCCTGTGCATTTTCCACTCTACCCCATGCTTATGTTCTAGTCCCTATTTCACATTGCCCTGCACTGAAAGGTCATTTTCTTTTTTGGAAGAATAAATGCTGCAGTGACATACAACACAACATTGATGTTAATAGGCCATAGTGTCTCAGGGATAATGAAGGCATAAAATTAAATGGTGAGCCAGCTGTTGGATTGGAATACTCAATACCTGTCTGGTCTGGAGTGTTTTAGAGGCCATGGCAAGTGAGCCTGACAAACTGGGCTTGATGGGAAAGAAAGCAAAGGAAGCATTTTCCATTTCCCTTAATTCATCCTAGAAGCAGTGCACATGGGAACAGGAGTTGTTAATCTCAGTAAGGGTCCCGGTGAAGGATTCTGATTGTATTCGTCAGGGGAGAGGCTTGATGTCTCCCTAAACCGTCGTCAGATTTCCGTATTTCTGTAACCCTTGCCTTTATTGCTCTCCATTGAAAGGCTTGGGAGTAGGGAGCACACTGTTCTTTCTTCGTGACACTTCTGGAAACATTAATCAGAACATCTCAGAGCTACTTGCCCCACGTATCATGTGGGGTCTGGCCCAGATACAACTTATATCTAGAGTACTGACCATTCTGGTGAAAGTATCACTGCTGTTACTCAGGTTGCAGCCATGGATTGATGTTTATAAGCCATAAATGAAACCCTTAGTAACTGTATGTGCTTCTGACCACCCAAAACAGAGACTCTGCAGGGAAGGCAGACTGAAGGTCTACGGAGGTGGCAGACCAAAAGTGTCTATTGAATTCTCCAAAACTTTTACCTTTATACTTTACTTTCTTCATGCTCCTTGGAGACTTCTCCCTCCCACAAACTGTTCACCATCCTCTGCCTCCCTAAGAAGCAGTATCGTGAAGTAGGTATAAACAGGGGGTCTGAAGTCAGGCAAGACCTGTGTTATTAGTCTCGGCTCCAATATTTACTAGCGATGTGATTCTGACATTATTCATCACCTCTGGGCTTCAGTTTCCCCATCCATGAAATGGAGAGAATAACAGTACCCACCTCATAAGTGTGTATTGCAGATGAAATGAAGGGGGAAAGGCCACAAATAGACAAGGAGAAACCTTACATGCATATTGCTAAGAGAAAGAAGTCAGCCTGAAAATGCTACATCTAGTATGATTCCAACTATATGACATTCTGAAAAAAGACCGAGCCGGGCACAGTGGCTCACGCCTGTAATCCCAGCACTTTGGGAGGCCGAGGCGAGTGGATCACCAGGTCAGGAGATCAAGACCATCCTGGCTAACACTGTGAAACCCCGTCTCTACTAAAAATACAAAAAATTAGCCAGGCGTGGTGGTGGGCACCTGTAGTCCCAGCTACTCGGGAGGCTGAGGCAGGAGAATGGTGTGAACCCTGGAGGCGGAGCTTGCAGTGAGCCAAGATAGCGCCACTGTACTCCAGCCTGGGTGACAGAGCGAGACTCCCATCTCAAAAAAAAAAAAAAGAAAAAGAAAAAAAAAAGACCGGTGATTATTGGGAAGAGAAGAAGAGGGAGGGAAGAACAGGTGGAGTGTAGGGAATTTTAAGGGCAGTGAAACTATTCTGTATGATACTAGAATAATAGGTACATGGCATTATGCATTTTTCAAAACCCATAGAACTGTACAACACAAAAAGTGAACCCTAATGTAAACTATGGGCTTTAGTTAACAATAATTTATCAATATTGGCTCATCAATTATAACAAATGTACCACATCAATACAAAATGGTACTAATAGGGTAAAGTCCATTTTTCTAAAGTCCATGTATAAAGCTTAGCACAATGCCTAGTATATAGAAAATGTCCAGCCATAGGCGGTACAGTTAGTATGATGATCATCAACACTTGGCAAGATGTGAGTCTACCTGTGGACACTTTACGATGTAGACCAAATCTTAGAAGTCAAAGGTCCAAGCGGTTAATTCAAGCCCAATTAGCTTAAATACAAAAGCTGCACAGCCCGCCCTGGAGAAGTCAAATGGAGCAGTAAAGGCAGAAAGGAGAGGATTCTGTTAGGACGCATCTTGCGCAGCGTCAGGCAGCGGGGCAGCCTCTCTAGGAGAGGACACAGCCGCCTTATCAGACCCAGGGGACGAGCAGGTGTCCCTGATGTTAAAGGAGCCTGCAGTGAAGAAGAGGCTGCCAGGGCCAAAGAGTCCATCAGTAAGGAACTAAAGGGCCGGTAAGTAGGAAGAGGCAGTGCGGCCCCCTTCCCGCTGGGGCCTGTCTGTGTGCTCACCTGAATGCCTCTGAAGACACCGTGCGTGTGTATTCTGTATTGGGCTCCGCAGAGGATGGGCGTTGTGTGGTTATCGCTCTCGTACCCTGTGCTGTGGCTGCAAACACAAAGAAGGGAAAAAGGCTCAGTGTGGCTCACAGTCGCCATTTGGAAATGCTTATCTGCAATCAGGAGGGAATGATGGTTTTTAAAGCTCACAGAACAAAAATAGTTGGTTTTTGCCTCCCTCCATGGGGCCACTTTAGATGCAGGGTTCTGCGGAGGGCGAGGCCCCTGGATCCTGGCCGCCACCTCGCAGCCCCTCCCTCATCCTCCGATTCTCGTAGGCGTGCACCGTCACGGTCTAGGTCTCGCTCAGACAAGCCGAGGAAGACCACAGTGGCAGGGTTTCATCCTCGGCAAGTTGTTTACCATCTAGACGGCAGGGCTGACAGCTGCAGGTATCTCAGGAATGAGCAGAATGCCTCAAGCTTCACGTTAAGTGCACTGAATTTGTCGGCACCTCATGACTCAGTTTTTACCAGATAGCACCAAAAAAGTGATGACGCAAGAAGAGATGTCATGTCCTCAGAAGTGGGGATTACATATCTGTGGCCTCACTCTGCTTAAATGACAGGTCAGTTTTCCAGATCAGCTTAACTCTTGGTAGCCAGCCTGTGCTGTAGGTGGGCACTGAAGAATCTTCCTCCAGCATTCCACTGACTAGTCCCCTAACTGGTGCTCAGGTTAAGCTTCGACTACATAGGAAGAGCTGAAAGATGTGCAATGCTGAAAAGGACAACTTGAAAGGAACGAATGTTCTGTTCTAAAATTATTCTCTCCTTCAGATACAATGCCTCTATCTGCTCTACAGTTATTTTACTTCCAGATGAGATGAGGCAGACTGAGGTTTTTCACCCACACCAGCAGCACATTAGAATTACACCTAGAAGCACCGAGGAGAGCTCTTATGAAATAGCTCTGTGAAATGATGCAGCTGCTTTGCAAAATATCTGGCAGTTCCTCAAAAGGTTAGACATAAAGTTAACATATGACCCAGAAATCCCACTCTTAGGGATATTCCCAAGGGAAATGAAAACAGACGTCCACACAAAAACTTGTATACATTGTGCATTAGCAGCATATTCCTAAGAGCCAAAAAGTAGAATCAACCCAAATGTCCATCAACTGATGAATAGATAAATCAAAGAGAGTATCTTCATACAATGGAATATTATTCAGCAATGAAAAGGAATAAAGTACCAATACATGCTACAATATGGATGAACCTTTAAAATACCGTGCTAAGAAGCCATTCACAGAAGACCACATGTAGTATGATTGCATTTCTATAAAATGTCCAGAATAAGCAAATCTGTAGGGACAGAAACTAGATTAGTGGTTGGGTGCCTTGAACTGGGGGAGTTGGGAAGGCAAAGAAAATGACTGCTGAAAACGTCCTAAAATTGTGGTAATGGTCATACAACTGTGAATATACTAAAAACCATTGCATTGTACACTCTAAATCGGTGAATCATACGGTCCGTGCAATCTATAAATCTGCTTTTAAAAAATTATCGGGGGGGGGTGTGGTCCGAGAAGGATGCATCAGTATATTTATTTATTTATTTTGAGATGGAGTCTCGCTTTATCACCCAGGCTGGAGTGCAGTGGTGCGATCTTGGCTCACTGCAACCACCGCCCCTGGGTTCAAATGATTCTCCTGCCTCAGCCTCCGGAGTAGCTGGGATTACAGGCGCACGTCACCATACCCGGCTCATTTTTGTACTTTTAGTAGAGATGGGGTTTCACCATGTTGGCCAGGCCAGTCTCGAACTCCTGGCCTTAAATGATCCACCCATCTCTGCCTCCCAAAGTGCGGGGATTACAGGTGTGAGCTACCAGGCCCAGCCGCATCAGCATTTTTAAAAGCCTCCAGGTGGGATTAAACTGGCTGTCAGCACTGAGAATTCCATTCTCTGCCTCCATTACTCTAACAGTTGGTTCCAGGGGTCCTGGGCAGGGAGGCAGGTAAGCTGGTGGGTGGATCAGCCCACTCCATCTGGTGTGGTGTGGGGAAGCCTGGAGTTGACCCAATACTCACTCACCCAGAGGAGAGAGTGCCTGAAGGAAAGAGTGTCTGCCAGGACAACTGAAAT
Organism: Homo sapiens; assembly: GCF_000001405.40. Classification (NCBI taxonomy): domain Eukaryota; kingdom Metazoa; phylum Chordata; class Mammalia; order Primates; family Hominidae; genus Homo; species Homo sapiens. Next base: position 32,402,086 of record NC_000011.10, read on the forward strand.
GTCCACACCCCCTAGGGCCACAGAAGCTGTAGGGTTTCACATTTACTTCTGGCTCTAAGCATTTTAGAAAGAACTGCCTGCCCCTCTAACCTACCATATCTTGTCTCCACATCCTTCAAGTAATTTTTGACTTATCTAGGGCAGGGGGAATGTCTCAAAGAAGTAGCCCCAGGGTCAAACCTGCAAAAATTGGGCAAAAATGCCAAACCCAAAGAACATATGCCCTTCTGACCCTTAGAATGTGTTTGTCAGGAGAAAGAGGCTGTGTCTGCCTTCCTTTCAATTACTTGGTACAGACAGTGGGAAAGTGAGAGGTGATGACAATGGCCATTTGGCAGCAGAAAGAGGGCAGTACCAGAATGGTGCCATGGTGCTGCCAGAACATTTTGCCTCAAAGGCTGTGAAGAGAAGCTGCCTTTGCTTGCTTCAGTCATCTGCATGGAGCCACAATGTGACTTACACATTTTCTTTCTTTTTCTTTTTTAGAGCTTGCTCTATTGCCCAGGCTGGAATGTAGTGGTGCGATCATAGCTCACTGCAGCCTTGAATTCCCTGGCTCAATTGTTCCTCCTGCTTCCATCTCCCAAAGAGCTAGGACTATAGGTGCCCCGCACCATGCCCAGCTGATTTTTATTTTTATCTTTGTAGAAACAGGGTCTTGCTAAGTCCTCCATAGGATGGTCTCAAACTCCTGGGCTCAAGTGATTCTCCCACCTTGGCCTCCCAAAGTGCCAGGATCACAGGAGTGAGCCACTGCCCCTGGCCTACTTTCCACATTTTCTAGGGCTGAAGGATTTCTAGGGACACAACATTAAAGTTCTGCCATCGAAGGGTAAAAATTAGAAATCTGTCTTGACAGCTAAGCTCTGGGTGTTAGCTGGGTTCCTGGAGGGTGGGGGCATGGGAACAGACTTTCCTGAAGACAACTGTCTCATGAAATTAAGTGGTGTGACACTCAAAGGGAACAGCAATTTGCACAGCTGGATGCAAACCACAAACAAAAGAAGCAACAAGCAACAAGACTGTACCTGCCAAATATGCCAGTGGATTCTCCTACAAGGTCCATGAGGAAAAAAAAAACAGCCAGGCCCCCGCCTATGGGGACTTGGGTCTCCAAAGGACAAACACACCAATGCAATTCCACACTGTGGAAACCTGCAATTCAACACTTCCCAATGTAGTGTGCCCAGAACACCAAGTACAACGTACTGGCATCTGATGTGGTAGCAATTCTCTCTAAATAAGTTTTTAAAAAGCAACTCGGTCTGGGAACCATAGACTAATAGAGATAGAAAGGATCCAGAAAGGCCATCTACACCAACCCCCATTTGGAGCAGAAATCTCTTCCAGCTTATGCCCAACAGTTGATCAACATGACTGGTGACTAGTTTTCAAGATAGCCCATTCCATTTTAGGAGAGCTTTAAAAACAAGCTGAAATCTGTCTTCTCATTTCGGACTCCTGGAGAACCACTGAATGAATATTACTTTTTTTTTTTTTTTTTTTTGAGACAGAGTCTGGCTCTGTCGCCCAGGCTGGAGTGCAGTGGCATGAAGTCAGCTCACTGCAACCCCCGCCTCCTGGGTTCACGCCATTCTCCTGCCTCAGTCTTCTGAGTAGCTGGGAATGCAGGCACCCGCCACCACGCCCGGCTAATTTTTTTGTAGTTTTAGTAGAGACGGGGTTTCAACGTGTTGCAGGATGGTCTTAATCTCCTGACCTCATGATCCTCCCGCCTCGGCTCCCATTGTGCTGGGATTACAGGTGTGAGCTACTGCACCGCGCCCAGCCGCAAATATTACTATTTTACAGCCATCTGTGTGTATCTCCTCTGCCCCATTGTAAACTTGGCCTTGAATACAAAGACTCTCTGCTCTTCTCTGCATCCTCTAAACTCAGTGACTGAGGCCGGACATGGTGGCTCACGCCTGTAATCCCAGCACTTTGGGAGGCCGAGGCAGGCGGATCACGAGGTTAGGAGATCGAGACCAGCCTAGCCACCATTGTGAAACCCATCTCTACAAAAATACAAAAATTAGTTGGGCATGGTGGCACGTGCCTCTAATCCTATCTGCTTGGGAGGCTGAGGCAGGAGAATCGCTTGAACCCGGGAGGCGGAGTTGCAGTGAGCCGAGATCGTGCCATTGCACTCCAGCCTGGGCGACAGAGCAAGACTCTGTCTCAAAAAAAAAAAAAAAAAAAAAGATTTCAAACAGTTTTCATGTTTTTCTGTTTTGTTTCCTAGTAGACTTCCTTTTGAGACATAAGATAATTGACCCTGCTGAATGACAGGGAGAAGGGATTTATGAGTCCTTGGCCAAGATAGTCAGGAAGATCACAGGAATTGACAGCAAGGTGTCATGAGGCTATGGTTCCAAGTGGGGAAAAGAACGGTGAGTCTGGGGCAGGCAGGTAAAGTCACGGGAGAGGAGGTTCAGGGTAATATGACTGCTTCTCCTGTCCTGCCACAGAGACCACTCTGTGCTAGAAGCCACTCTCCAACTTGACAAAGATACTTTAGACAACAGTTCCTTTGGTTTTATTGTTCAACCAAGCACAAATCATCCATTTAAGCATTTAGTCCATCATCCCCTACCTTGTCCACAAGGACATCAAAAATATCAAATATCTTTTGCAATGAAGAGCCACAATATTAGTGAACTTCCACTATTGGACTGGTAATTCTACCCAAAAAGAAACGGACTTGGGCACGTGTCTTGCATACCACTAACCAACCTTGGTCATGATCCCTGTTTTCTCCCCAGCTTGTTCTCAAAGATCTGGCCTAATAACTTTTCCAAGAATTCATGCTAACTCTGTGGTTTCCAGAATCCACTGGGTTTTTTTCCTACTTGAAAACTAAGACATTTATCTGTCTCAACTCTTCGGTCACCTCTCTTATTCTCCATGAATTTCCCGGTTATTGGATAAGGAGGCAGTTATTTCATGTGTTTGCTAAATTGGTCAGAATATGGATTGACTCTTTTTAATTTAAAACAGAGCCATGAACTCAAATATTCCTATAGGGGCCAAGTAAGACAAGTAAAATGAAGGCGACCCTAAAGAATGAGACGATATTGAACTCACAGGGACGGCTACCCTGGCCACATCACCCTCTGACCAACAGAGGCAGCCACGACTCAGCTCTCCCAGCCAATAACTGTAAACAATGTGAACCCAGCATTGCTATACTTTTCCATTCTCAAAGAAAAGTAGGAAATCTGGACTTTTTTGAGAGCACCTGAGTTATAAGTTCTTGCGAATAATTGAAATTTTAAAGAATCACTGTCGGGTCAAATAAAACACACACTCTAGATGGCACCACTGCACTCTAGCCTGGGTGACAAGAGTAAGACTCTGTCTGTAAAAAATATATATATTTTTAATATACATATATGTTATATATAATATATTCATAAATGTATAATAAAATATATGTTGAATATATAAATATATACAGAATATATACTTATACATAAATATATATATTTTTCAATCCTTAGAACCCTAGGAGTCATTCATTAAGTTCCATCACCTTACACAAATGACAACTTCCTCCCTGGCCTCAGCTTCATGTAAAATGAAAATTACAGCACTTCCCGCATCAGACTGATGCAATAGGTCAGGTAAGTAAATCACAGTGCTTGGTATGCACTCAATAAGTGTTAAACTGTTGCTTATGTAGTATTATCCCCATTTTACAGCAAAGAATACTGAGGTTTAAGGAGACATTGCGTTATTTGCCCACAGTCAGATGGCAAGTGGCAGAGCTAGAGTTTGAGTCCAGGTCAGTGCTTTTCTTCCTTCCAAATGAGCTGGATAATCCTGGTGGTATTAACCCCACCCTACAGGTTCACTTTTATCATCATGAGACTTGAACGACTCCCAGCTCTTTTCTCCAGCGGGATGAATGAAATTAGGCATGCTGAAGGTTTTAAAGGTGAACTGGGGTAGAGGGAAAGGACTAGGGTAGAGGAGAGTTGGGGGAGTGGGGAAGGACAGGTTTGAAACATTCCCACTTTAGCCTTCTTCAGCTTCTACTTGGAGGCACAACATGTAGTTTTGCATAAAGCAGTGGTCCCCCATGTTTTTGGCACCAGGGACCAGTTTTCTGGAAGGTCATTTTTCCACAGACCAGGGGTGGGGTGGAGGTGGGGGTGGTTTTGGGATGAAATTGTTCCACCTCAGATCGTCAGGCATTAGTTAGATTCTTATAAGGAGAGTGCAACCTAGATCCCTCACATGTGTAGTTCACAATAGGGTTCATGCTGCCATGAGAATCTAATGTCGCCACTGATCTGACAGAAGGTGGAGCTCAGGCAGTAATTCGAGGGATGGTGTGGCTATAAATACAGATCAAGCTTTGCTACCTCGCCTGCCGCTCACCTCCTGCTGCAAGGACCAATTCCTAACTGGCCACAGACCACTACCGGTCCATGGCCCGGGGGTTGGGGGCCTTTGGTATAAAGAAAGCACAAGGCTAACTGATGGAAATGGCTGCTTATGTGCAACAGAGCATGAAGTTTACCCTCCACCAAAAAAAAAATATATATATTTATTTCTATTGAACTGGGAAAATAAGCAGAAGCAGTTATCAGCAGAGCATGCACTTTGGCGCTTCACTTCTGGCAGTGGCCTGGACTGTACATTTTGCTAAACAGCTTTAAGATGCATAAAAATGTATCCTGAGAAAATTTGCTTTTCCTAGACAGCTTTAAAATGCATAAACACGGCCGGGTGCAGTGGCTCATGCTGGTAATCCCAGCACTTTGGGAGGCCGAGGTGGGCGGATCACCTGAGGTCAGGAGTTCGAGACCAGCCTGGCCAACATGGTGAAACCCCATCTCTACCAAAAATACAAAAATTAGCCGGGTGGGGTGGTGGGCGCCTGTAATCCCAGCTACTTGGGAGGCTGAGTCGAGAGAATCGCTTGAATCCGGGAGGCAGAGTTTGCAGTGAGCCAAGATCGTACCACTGCACTCCAGCCTCAGCGACAGAGCGAGACTCTGTCTCAAAAACAAAAACAAAAACAAACAAAAAATGCATACACACTTTCCTTAGAAAGTTTGCAAAAAGAGAAAAATGTCCCTCATATAACACAAATTGTGAGCCCTCTTCCCGCTAAAAACACGTACATTGAGATTTGGCTCAGGAAAAACAAAAAAACAAAAAAACAAAAAACAAAACACTTAACATTGCAAGAGTGGCTTCTTTAGAAATGATTAACTTTGATATTCCACAGGCACATGAAGATTAATAAAAAGGAATTGAGGTTTTACAGATGAGGAAAACCAGAGCCGCCCTGGAATCCCTTATCAACAGAAGAAGTAAAAGAGAGAAAAGAAAAAGAGCCTTTGGAAGGCAATTAGCATTCATATGAATATTCAAAAAGGGGGAATTTCGGCCTGTCATTTCTCTCTCCCACCTCTAGTTATTGGCCAGGCAGGCATCCCCCCATCTTCACCTCCGTCTTCTCCCCTCTGCAGAGTTAATCAGATTGAAGGGAAGCACCTGGGGACATTCAAACTCTTGTGTCTCTAAAACATGGAATTTACCCATCAACCCCTCTTCTCTCCCCACCCTCGATACTCAGGGCTCATACGTGAGATGCTGAAATGCCTGATTCTTTTCAGTGTTGACAATAAACCCCGCTGCAAGCCTTGAGAACCATCACCCCCTTGTTTAAGGATCTATGCTAAGAAACTATGCTTCCTTAAAGTTTAAACACAAGAGAAGAGGCTGAACACAGTGCCACTCATCAATTACATTTACCTAAAAAAGAAAGAAAGAAAAAGGAAAAAAGAAAATAAAAAAAGAAACCCAAATCGAATCAAGCCTCTAGGAAATACAGGGGAGGCCAGGCGCGGTGGATCATGCCTGTAATCCCAGCACTACGGGAGGCTGAGGCAGGCGGATCATTTGAGGTCAGGAGCTTGAGGCCAGCCTGGCTAACATGGTGAAAACTCATCTCTACTAAAAATACAAAAATTAGCTGGGCATGGTGGCATTTGCCTGTAATCCCAGCTACTCGGGAGGCTAAGGCAGGGGAATCGCTTGAACCAGGGAGTCGGAAGTTGCAGTGAGCCGAGATCGCATCAGCCTGGCTACAGAGTGAAACTCCATCTCAGAAAAAAAAAAAAAAAAATGCTGGGCGCAGTGGCTCACGCCTGTAATCCCAGCACTTTGGGAGGCTGAGGCAGGCAGATCCCTTGAGGTCAGGAGATCAGGACCATCCTGGCTAACATGGTGAAACCCCGTCTCTACTAAAAAATACAAAACATTAGCCGGGTGTCGTGGCGGGCACCTGTAGTCCCAGCTACTTGGGAGGCTGAAGCAGGAGAATCACTTGAACCCAGGAGGTGGAGGTTGCGGTGAGCCAAGATTGGGCCATTTCACTCCAGCCTGGGCAACAGAAGGAGACTACGTCTTAAAAAAAAAAAAAAAAAAAAAAAAAAAAAGAAAGAAAGAAAAAAGAAAAGAAGGAAGGCAGAGGAAGGGAGGGAAAGAATGAGAGAGAGAGAGGAAGAAAGAGAAAGAACAGAAAAAAAGAAACACAGGGGAGAGAGGACCAAGTTTAAAAGACTGTAAGATAAAACAATCTGCCAAATCCAGACTGTGGGATATTCTACCAGAAAACTGACCTGCTATTTCCAATAAACCAATAGTCTGAGAAGAAAAGGGAGGAGGGGGCTGTTATAATATAAGCTAGACTTAGGAGAGGACAACTACCAAATAAAACAAAATACAACAAAACAATAAACCTCCGTGTAAATACTGTACTCTGTACTTACTGTGTACTCGTATGAACCACAGATTGCTGGACTTGAATTAATCAGCCCTAAGAGACTTAGGGTCAAAAGATCCAGGAGTATTCCCTAGGAATTCTCAGTGGTTATGCCACAGTGCTTAGGTTTAACACTTTACTCAATGAATATCCAATTTCCCTGTAGCCACAGTAAAGTAATTTCAGAAGTCACTTTCATATGCACTTATCAGATCTTATTTGGGGAATGAATAGATACTGGATTATCCACATTCAGAGCTGCTGGCAACCTGGCACAGATGCCCCTAGATCAACATAAATATTATTTTATTATTTGCTTGAGTGTGACATGCTCCATCTCTTTATTTTAAAAAGTAAAATTTAAAAAATACCAGAAATAATTAAATATTTTAAAATGCTTGGGATGGGAAAAGTCTAAGCATGATCGAAAAGTCAAAAACTTGAAACTGTAAGACAAAAACTTACTATTTTTACCATAAAATAAAAATATCTGACAGAAAAAAACCATTAACAGAATTAAAATACAAACCAGAGAAAATATTTTCATTACATATGACAAGCAAAATAACTCTTATAAAGAAAGCACTTTTTCTTTATTATTATTATTTTTAGAGAGATGGTCTCTGTTGCCCAGGCTGGAGTGCAGTGGCATCATCATAGCTCACTGCAGCCTCAAACTCCTGGGCCCAAGCACTCCTCCCACCTCAGCCTCCCAAGTAGCTGGGACTATAGGCATGCCAATATGCCCAGCTAATTTTTTAATTTTTTTGTTTTCTATAGAGATGAGATCTTGCTATATTGACCAGGCTGGTCTTGAATTCCTGCCTCAGCTTTCCAAAGTGCTGAGATTACAAGCATGAGCCACCGAGCCTGGCAGAAAGAACTCTTATAAATTAATATTGTTACTAGATGATCTATCCCAGCTTCTGGCTAAAGCCAGCCCCACCAACTTATCTATGGAGCCCCTTCTCTCCCACCTCCTTCAAGGACACTGTTCCAGTGATTCTGTCCCCTCCCATTGACCATTTTTTTCCTCCTCTTTTTTTCCTTTTCTTTTTTTATTTTTGTATTTTTTGAGACAGAGTCTTGTTCTGTTGCCCACACTGGAGTGCAGTGGCACGATCTCGGCTCACTGCAACCTCCGCCTCCTGGGTTCAAGCAATTAATTCTCTTGCCTCAGCCTCCCGAGCAGCTGGGATTACAGGTGTGTGCAACTATGCTCAGCTAATTTTTGTATTTCTGTAGAGAACAGGGTTTCGCCACGTTGGCCAGGCTGGTCTCAAACTCCTGACCTCAAGTGATCCACCTGCCTCGGCCTCCCAAAGTGCTGGGATTACAGGTGTGAGCCACCATGCCTGCCCCATTTTTTCCTCCTCTTGATCATTCTCATCAGCAAACAAACATACAGATACTTCTATCTAAAGATAAATAACTAAATAAAAGCAGAACAATTTAAAACAAAACCACTCCTTCTCCCGACCTTCTTTCCCCAGCCAGCTAGAACCCCATTTTTTTGCTCCCTTTTGCAGCAGAACTCCATGAAAGCATGATCTTTACCTCCTCTCCTTGTCTCTTAAATCCATCTGTTTCAGGCTTTTGTCTCTTCCGTCTAATATATTTAGAGGTAACTGCAATTAATAGTCTGATAAATGTTTCCAGAATTTTTTCTCTGAAGATATAAATACACCTCAAAATGTTTTTTTAAACAGTTATCTCTGGGTGGTGAGACAACAGATTAATTTTCTTTTCCTCTTTATAATGTTTTGGTCCCGTCTGAATTTTTTAAAAAATGATAAGCCTGTGTGACTTTTATAATCAAGGAGAAAATAACTGTTTTCATTTTAGATAAAGTCGCCATCTAGGCATACAGAACTACATCTGTTGTTTTAAAAATGAAGAGTTAGAAATAAAGCTAGAATAAATAAACTTGTTCGCTTTTAATAGAAAAACTCCTACTAAAATATGCAGTAGCTCCTTGTTTCAGAGAAACACTTTTCTGGATAACTTTTTATTAGTGTAGCTTCCAGATCAATGTTCTTCTACCTAGAGGTTATGATCTTTTCTTGGGCAGATGACAGGCAGAAGGATAAATGGTGAGTAGAGGGTCTCAGAAGAGATCAGGGATAGGAGAAGTCCAAATACTGCTTTGGATCATTAAGGTATCTTCCACTCATCTGATGTAACCTCTCCCTCTCCAATACACACACACACACACACACACACACTTTTATCAATCCTCATTAACCTCACTTCACCTCCCTGTGCTACAATCACTGTTTCTCATTTCCAACTTGGCCCCTTCTCCATCCCAACCTTTCTTTCCTATCTTTCCTATTCAGCTCCTTTCTTCTCCAGATCTAAACAAACCTAGCATTTTTCCTCACCTCCACAAGATGAAAATAATTCCTTGCTTTAAAATAAAATAGTTAGAATCATGGTATGGAGGTAAGTCTGCAGAGCCCATAAATATTTTTTAAGAGGCTGAGAATATTTTCAAGAAGTCAAAGCTATCATGACAACTTCGTGATGGCCTATAAATATGCATTTGCTGAATTGAATCTCACCTGAAGCCAATCATTTTTGTAAGAAAGAAAATGACACAAATGTACATGCATGGACAGGAAAGGGTCTAAAATTTTGTGCAACATCATTATCATCATAGTTTCATCTAGGCTTTTGGGGGGAGTTTTAATTTCCTTCTCTGCGTAGTTGTATTTTCTAACTGTTCTATAATTTATACACATTACTTACATAATAAAAAAATTCAATACATTCATCAAATGCATGTCCAAAAATAAAAGGATAGAAAAGGCCAACAGCCAGGGAGGAGAAAGAAGAAGCAGAAAAGTGAGAAGCAAAGGAAAGAAGCTTCCGAATCAGTCCACACTAAGTGAGAGGGACACAGAGCTAAGTCACGAGTCTCCATCTTTATCAAACCCTGGAGTCCCATTCTTCGTTCTGGTTGGCAGGGTTAACAGACCTCAGGCCAAGTCCAATGCAAGGCAATAATAAAGAAAAAAAACTCTTTAAATGGCATTAAATGAAACTTTAAACGGTGGAAAATTAATAACTTGTTGCTGGGGGTGGAGATGGAGTAGGCTCGGCAATGCTGATATTCACAGAACTGAGGCTCCCCACCTTCACTTTGCATCTCAGGCTCCGGGAGCCACTTAAAAGCAAGCTATCTATTTCCAAGAAGTAAATCTCTTGGACGGATACCTTATGTTCACGAGCCCGCGAGGGAAGGTGCTGGGCTGTGTATTGGAGCTCCCAGCCAGAGAAGACAGCTATCTCTTTTGGCACAGGTTCTCAGGGATGAGACCATGTCTAGCGGGGATTTTCTCCAGATTCGACAGCCTTGGCCCTACCAAAACGCACAGCTTTGTTTTCACCACACATCACTCATTGTTGAGTCTTTTTTGTTTTTCCTCTCAAGCATCCACAGGTTGAATACTGTGTGTTCCCAACAGCCTGTGAACTTCTTGGACCAGCAAAGGGACATTCATTTTGCTGAGCACTCCTTTCACATTTCTATTGTGTTCGATTTCCCACTCCCCCTACCCGAGTCCCCAGAGAATAACTTCTTCCTTGTTTTAATAACTTGGATCACAGTCAAGGTTGATGTGTTTCTCCATTTTGCAGGATATTTTCTTCAGAAGAGACAAAACAGAGGCCAACAGGGTAGGAGAGGCTTGTTCGGAAATCAGCAGCCATTGAGAACACACAGAAAATGTTTTCAAAGAAATAGAAAGCAGATAACACAAGGCACCATCAATAGAAGGCTTCAAAATGGTGGACTCATACTCAGAAAGATTCCCCAGCAACGTTTTCTCCCAGGGACCCACTTTAAAAATCTAATTTCATTTGTTTGGGGGTGAGGGAGAAGAAAGTACTTTCCGTAAAGTACCTTCTCACTGACTTAAATTGAAATACATTCTCCCATTGGAGGTCATAAAAGTAGCTGTGATCCCAGTGGGTATGCAGAAATTAGAAAATGAGTAAAGGGAGAAGGAGGAGAAAGGAGCGGTTCAGTCACACAAGTATATCCCACCTCTAACACAGCAAGTTTTCATTTCATCTGCCCATGTTCTTTATAAAATCCTATCCCCACCCATTGTAACACTGCTCCCTGACATCTAATGAAAGATGTCTCCGTGGACTTGCTTGGGATACAAGGAAACAAACCTATTCTTTGTGAAGCCACTTTTTTGAAACGAAACATTTTCAAGGAAAGAAGACCCGAACCAGCATTTAGTGGGGTTTAGTCTGAGGTGCATGATCTTTTAATAAAAAATTGATAATGCCTCTTTTTTATGAGTGATATGGAAATTACATCTTTCTTCTCTAAAACATGAACCAAATCACCAGTTTTTCCTGTAATAGATCAACCTTGTCACATGATTTTTCTTAACATTGATTTCAAACAGTGTCAAGACACTAGTTATGAATGAACACAAAAAGTTATGTGTCTGAATTTGTCTTCATGGAATACCTTTTCTCAAATGTATTCTCCATATTAATACTTTTCATACCATGGCAAAAGAAAGTAAATCCAGTATCACAAAGAACAATGACCCCAACCCAGATTGGTCTCCCCTGGGGAAAGGCCAAACTTTCTACTGGAATTACAGATTCAACTAAATCCAGTTCTGGGCTGTTCATGAGTTTGGAGGAGACAGCCAAGGTGTCACCATGTTTGAATGCTAAAAGTGAGGCAAACTGTGGGTCATGACACATCAGTGGGTTGTAAAATCAATCTAGTACATCACAATCAGCATTTTAAAAAATGAAATAGGATAGAGAGAAAAAGTCAGCATGCAGAGCATGTCATAAGAGTATTGCTCAGTGAAAATCTATGTTGTGTGTGTGTATGTGTGTGCACATGTGTGTATATGGGATCTCACTGTAAAGGGTATTTCTAACTGTGGTCACAGTCTAAAAGGTTTCCACCCATTTAAGAAGCTCTAATCTAGGGCCCAGGTCCTGGAGTCAGACAGAACTGATTCCAACATGGCTCTGCCACTCACTTACTATGTGACCTTGGTTAGATAGCTTAATCTCTCCACCTCCTCAGCTAAAAAATTGGATGTGGCCATAGTGTCCTGGGGGTGTTGTAAGATCAGATCAGAAGAGGAAACATGTACAGCCCCTCACACGGCACCCAATACTGTTTATATACATCCTTAGATAAATGTCCAGTTCACAAAATGGAAGCGGAAATTCGTGGATTTACAGTATGTTCTACAGTGTGAGAGAAGATGGTAGGCAATTAGCTAATTGTAATTTTTGCTCTGCAAAACAGTTGTTCTTTTGTGGAACTATCTGTTGGGCCATCTAGCCCTTTTTATAACAGCTCCCTGAATAAAGTTAATATTCGAGAAATATACATATATATTGTGTTTGTTTGTTTTGTTTTGTTTTGTGGAAGGGTCTCACTCTATCGCCCAGGCTGGAATGCAGTGGCCTGATCTTGGCTCACTGCAACCTCCGCCTCCCAAGCTCAAGCAATCCGCCCACCTCAGCATTCCAAGTAGCTGGGGTTACAGGCATGTGCCACCACGTCTGGCTAATTTTTTTGTATTTTTTGTAGAGAAAGGTTTTCACCACATTGTCCAAGCTGATCTCAAACTCCTGAGCTCAAGTGATCCACCCACCTCAGCCTCCCAAAGTGCTGGGATTATAGGCGTGAGCCACCATGCCAGGCCAAGAAATACATTTTTAGTCAGGGCGCAGCAGCTCATACCTGTAATCTCAGCACTTTGGGAGGCCAAGTGTGGCGGATCGCCTGAGGTCAGGTGTTCAAGACCAGCCTGGCCAACATGGCGAAAACCTGTCTCTACCAAAAATACAAAAATTAACCAGGTATGGTGGCAGATGCCTGTAATCCCAGCTACTCAGGAGGCTGAGGCAGGAGAATCACTTGAACCCAGGAGGCAGAGGTTCCAGTGAGCCAAGATCGTGCCACTGCACTCCAGCCTGGGTGACAGAGTGGGACTCCATATCAAAAAAAAAAAAAAAAAGAAATACATTTTTATTTCAGAAATCCTTTCTAAGATGTAAGTAACGGACCAATGAAAACTCTTCTCATTTTTTTCTTATGTAGGATTGAACAGAACAAATTGTTCACACTTTGTGCTTCATCCTTATAATACAGCTTCTGCCTCCTCAGCAAGTGACTAACAGTACATGTCTAAAGACCTTAAAAAGTATCGAAATTATCTTAACCATGGAAATATCCAGCTGCAAATACATGCCAAATTCCTTATCTGTAATTTTTGTAACTGAACAAACAAGCCCCTGTATTACAGCATGAAGAAGTTTTTGAAACTGAAATGTACTGCTCACTTCACAATCATGTTCTGTCTATCCTTGCTATTTAGCTTGGGGAAGGTTATCAAGTTCTGAGGAGAGGAGAAAGGAGAAAAGGAAGGGAGCCAGAAAGAAAGGGTGGGACCAAGAAGCCAAGGAACTTAAGACGAGTTAAGAACAGGTAGAAAGGCCAGGCACGGTGGCTCACGCCTGTAATCCCAGCACTTCGGGAGATCAAGGTGGGCGGATCACCTGAGGTCGGGAGTTTGACACCAGACTGACCAACATGGAGAAACCCCATCTCTACTAAAAATACAAAATTAGCCGGGCGTGGTGGCACATGCCTGTAATCCCAGCTACTGGGGAGGCTGAGGCAGGAGAATCGCTTGAACCCGGGAGGTGGAGGTTGCGGTGAGCGAGATGGCACCATTGCACTCCAGCCTGGGCGACAAGAGCTAAACTCCGTCTCAAAAAGAAAAGAGAATGGGTAGAAAGACAGAATGCTAAAACTGTCAGCAGTCCCCCAGATGGAAGACAGGAGAGAAATAATTTAAAACAACAGAAAGCCTTTTCTTTGTGGTCCAGAGAGAGGAAGAGGAGATCTGGATAAAACTGCTGAAAAATTTGGGGGCGGGGGTGAGGTGAAGAACCTAACAGTAAGTCTTGGAAGATGAAATACAACTCTGTTGATTACTGAAGGATGAACCAAATAACAGGACTGGGCCCACACAATAAAGAAGAAAAGAGGGCGGCTGGTTGTGGAGTTAAAGCAGAGAGAAGAAAAAGAAACAGCTACAGAAATTCCCCAAGGTGCAGGGTACAGGGCTGGGGAAGGTGCGAATGTTTGGGAATAAAAACAAACTTTGAAAAACAACAAAAAACAAGTCTTTTCAAAGCCTGGCCTCAGACTTAGGGTAAGTTCTCCCTGAGAGATTTAAAGGTAAATAAAGAAGAAGCAAGTTAAGACTGAAAGCTTTGACTGATCTAACAGGAACATGTGGCATTATGGTTGTAATGCCACAAATTTAGTATTTAGTATTTTGTGAAGTATTCACAAAGAAATGAACAGGATGCTGCATAATTTTTTACATTGTTTTCCAGGGGCATGTTGATGAGAAATGCTACTCCCTCCATTTTGTCCCCAGCATGTGTATGATGAATAAGAAGAGGTGGGGGCGGGGGAGAGAGATTCTTCCCATCCACCAAATGCTACCCTGATTACCCACGTCAGTCCTAACTCCTGCATTGCCCCAGGTGCCAGTCAGCAAGGCCTACGCCATTTGCTTTGCCATCTCCGCATTGTCCACTCACTTGCTCTGCCCTTCTGTCCATTTCACTGAGCTGGAGCTCCCAGCAGCAACTCTAGAAAAGAAGAAGAGGTGGGGAGTGGGGAATGGAGCATGCATGGATCTGGCAAGCCCCCCAGATCCCAGAATCCAGTGAAAAGCCCCTCAATACACAGAGACATCAAGCTAGCTATCAAGAGTGCTGAACTAAGTCCCCAGTCCCACTGGGGCCAATGGTGGGGTGGAAGGCACCACCGGAGGCTGCAAAGAGCTTGGGCTTTGGAATCAGATCTGGACTTGGCATCCCAGCTCTAGCACTTAGTAGGATGTGAACCTGGGAAGTAACTTAACCCTCTGAGCTTGGTTTACTTATCTGTAAACCAAGCAGTACTTAGCTCTCATGAGAGTGTTGGGAAGATAAGATGAGGTAACCTGGAAGGACACCTGACACGCTGCAGGCACTTCATGAGTGTTCTATGCTACTGCCCATCTCTTCACACTTGGTAGAAAATGAAAAGTGAGCTCTTTCAATGGTGAAAGCAAGTCCCACCTGCCTTCTTTTTTTTATTTTTTCATTTTTAGGTGCAAAGAGTAGCTCCTTCTGATGTTTCCTGGCTGTATTCTCCCTATTATGGTTGTATTATCAAGTATGGAAAGAAAAACCCTGTTGGTGCAATCAGGTATGGGCGTATCTGACTGTGAATTGCCCAGATCAGCATCACACAAATACAAATTTGGATCCCGGACTTTGCACACCCAAAGCACTTCTTGATAAGATAGTGGAATGGTTAACAACTGTGATATCATAGTAAAACACAATTATTAAATGAGGTTGAATAGCCTTTGAAGAATTATAAAACATTCAACAAGACCATAATAAGTGTCCTCAATATTCCTTGTTCCAGATAGAAACAACCCACATTTATGTTTTTGAAAATTTAATACTGAACACAACTCACCAACTAGGGGAAGGAGGAAAGCGTTCTAATGTCACAGAGAGCTTTGCCCTTTCTTCTAAAACTGTACTTTCTTCATAAGTTCTAAGCACCTTTGAAATGGTTCAAACAGGTATAAGTTACTGTGGAAAGGCAATGGAATAGAGAAAACCTTACCCCTTTAAGGTGGCTCCTAAGTTCATCTGATTCCAGGTCATGCATTCAAGCTGGGATGTCATTTGGTATAAATTGTCACTGTTAGAAAAACATCTAGAGTTAGAAACACATAACCACAAAATAATACACAACTGTTTCTTCAAAAGCAATGGAGTTTTAACTTTTCTTGAAAGTGCAAGCCTCCACATTTTCCAGAATGACAGAATATGCAAATCTGAATTATTTTCATTTCATCCCACTGATCTCTGCACAGTTATACACTTCATACACAGCAGAAGGGATGTGAGAGTAACTCAGAAGCATTTTTTAAAACCTTTGTATAGCAACTATTGAAGTTTCTAAAGAAGTATTAAACCTTTGAGGGGAAAAGGCTAAGGGGAGTGAAACTTTGAAAGGCAACACAGGCTGGATAACTCAACATTAAAGTTAAAAGCCTGGAGCTGAAAGTAAAGACAGCAGATTAATTATTCGTGAAAAGGCCATTAAGTTGTTTTAATCAAAAGGATAAGTATCATGTGGATTATGAGGGTCTGAAAAGTCAGAGTGATGGGTGATAAATGGTCTAAAAAGCAAGGATGTGACAAGCAGAAGAAAGACGATGATAAACTCTATGCACAGCGGAAGGAATCATTTTCTATATGTTTTATAATCCTGGTACAAGTCAAATTAAAAAAAAAAAAAAAGAGCCCAGTTCTATAAGACTCTATGAGGGAAATGGCTTATCATTTACATTAAGACTCCAAAGAAGTCTTACACCGCTATGTAAACCAACAAAAAGCTGTTCTGTCCCCTCTGTATTTATCTCATTCCTAGAAAATTAGCACATGAATCAATTGCCAGAAATCTCCTAAATTACCAAGCTCCATCAGGAATAAATTTATGCCTGAACTGAAATGGTTAATTATGAAATTTGAGACCCAAGAGACCAAGAGTTTTTCTGGGACCTCTTGGTCTAAACACTTTACAGAAGAAAAATTTCACTCTACCTTCATGGCAGAAATGAAAAAAGATAAGAGGCATTTAATATCCGATGTGTGGTATCAGATTGCAGATATAGGACCATCTCTGTCTGGTCATGGCATTCTTTTAAGCTGCTTCACTGGGCAGAGGCAACACCAAATTTTAATTCAGAAAGGCTTTTTTCAGGCCAAGCATAACTGGGAACTTGAGGAGGGGAGAGGGAAATTACAGCAACTCAGAATAAATGAATTCTGTGCTCTCTGTCCGCATAGCGTGATAAATCATGGCAGAGTCCATCTGACTCTCATATAATAACTCTGAAAATTATTTGGAACTCCTTAGTGGTGGGTACACAGGATAAGGAGGAAATCAGATTCCAGGAGGGAATTTTGCATATGAAAAGTGAAGTGACTTCAAACTCAAAGTATGTGCCGTTTCATTAGTCAGTGTGTATCTGGACGCCGTCACTCATCCCCGTGTCTGACTGGCTATTATGCTACTACAATATCCTACATATCAATGAAAAAAAATGATGAGTTTCTCCTGCAGCTTCCCTGTTTGTAGCAGCAGCCCGTACTGGTCTGTGCCACAACATTTTGCAATTCCACAAATTCTTGCTGTAAGGCTGGAGTAATTAATTCCTGAAGGACCCCAACTTTTATTAGAAGTGCCAGCCTGCAGCATTTACCACAGGAGAGTTTCTTGAACTTTCTTTGGGCTGACAGTTCATTAATAAGCGGCCTCCTCCACAATCTCTCTACTGGTTTTTGTTCTCCTGCGCCTTTTCATCAAGCAATCCATTTATTAATCTTACCATTAATCTCAGCCAACAGGCATTGTATTCCCCAGGCAGCTCTATATTTTTGTCACTAATTTTTTAAAAATTGTTCACCAACTAAAATCACTCAGCCCCAGTTGACAATTTTCCTAGGCCCTTTGGGGATATGGGATCTTTCTGAAATTATTTCATCCTTTCACAACTCAGAAAATCATAATTTTCAAGAGAACTGGGAAAGAAAGATGAGTGACAGACGCTGATGCAGAAGGGTGAATGAATCCCAAATATCTAACTTTATGAGTTGGAAATTTTCTCACAGACTTAAAGAATAGTCTGGTTGATTCCTAAGGTCTCTGTAAGGAAGTACCCCAAAGAGAAAATAAACATTTTTTTCCGTTAGACGGAGTCTCACTCTGTCGCCCAGGTTAGAGTGCAGTGGCGCTATTTCAGTTCGCTGCAACCTCAGTCTCCCATGCGCAAGCAATTCTCCTGCCTCAGCCACCCAAGTAGCTGGGACTACAGGCATCTGCCACCATGCCCGGCTAATTTTTGTATTTTTAGTAGACATGGGGTTTCACCATGTTGGTCAGGCTGGTCTCAAACTCCTAACCTCAGGTGATCCACCCGCCTCAGCCTCCCAAAGTGCTGAGATTACAGGCATGAGCCACCGTGCCTGGCCAATATTTTTAATGGCATTTTCTTGGCCCTCAGAAGGCAAATCTTCTCAAATACAAGGTCTATGTCTTACGTATATGACTTTTTCTAGTGTGTACTGTACTGTCTAATATGGTATACACTGGCCACATGTGACTCATGCCACACATTAAAATGATAAGATTTTTTGCTATATTGAGTCAAATATGCTATTTGAAAAATTAATTCCACAGCTTCTTATTTTTTGAATGTGGTTACTAGCAAATTTCAAATTACATGTATGGCTTGTGTTATGTTTCTATTGGACAGTGATGTTCTATAAGTTTTGGGACATTGAGCAAATCAGTTCAGCTCCCTGCCCCTCAGTTTTCTCATCTGTTCAATGGGAATATTAATCTCCATCAGTCTAACTGTACAGAAATGTTGTGAGGCCCATAAAAGGTAATGCCCTCAATGGCCCTTTGAAGATGATACAGATAATATACTTTAATTACTTTAATTTGTTCTAACCTACCAAATTTTGCACAGCACTTTCACACATTCTCAATACTGCTCACAACTTTGTGAGGCAGATGTAATTCTGAGTCCCCATTTATTAGATGAGGGTTGAGGCACAGAGAGATGCCCAGTGCTGGCATGCCTGAGCCCCCACCCTCACTCTGCCCTGCCCCTATGAAGGCATCCTGAGCCTCATCCTCTCATTACCATTTATATAATAATAATAATAACAATAATACAGACAAGAGTCTGGAGGTGAAAGAGAATATGCTCAAGGGAGCATCATGACCTACTCAGTCTCTAGAAAATGACGATGCTGCAAGATGCCCCATGTGTCCTCTTCAGCTCACTAAGGGCAGAGTGCCAAGATCCCAATAGAAGCCCCCTTTGCCATTCTAGCTGTCCTGATAGCTTAGCCTGCAAACTCTCAGAAGAGGAGAGAAGGTGGGGAGGATGTATGGGACAGAAGGACTTTCAGAAAATCCCCAAGCTACTAATAGGTTTCCTGAGGCCAGAGATAGGATCAGAGCACAGTTTTAACCACATCCTGCCTTTTGCTGGCTGGGGCTCCTCAGCTGCTCAGTCAGTGGGCCTGGCTGGCACGGCCTTTCAAATGGAAGTCAATGACAGCAATGACAATAACGGCTGCTGGGGAGGGGACAAAAATGTGAACTGGAGCTAAAAATACTGGGCCGAAGCATGCTCAGGCTCTGATCTCTTTGGGCAATCGCTCAACACCCAGCTCTCATCATGGAAGCCCATGGAAAGAGGCAGCTTCGTTCAAGGAATATAGAGCCTCTGGCAAATGAAGCATCTAATTACTCAATAACCACTGTAGGTGCCACCACCTCATTCCCAGAGGAGATCAGATAAGCAGGTGGTTTGGCTTACAGCGACCACTGTGGTCACGTAGGCATTTCAGCTCCAACCGTCTAACTCTGCCTGTTCGGAAGTGAACTTTCAAATTGCAGGCTGCCAAAATGTATTCCAAAAGTCATGGTGTCCTTTATATTTTTTAAGTAGATTTTTTTTAAAGTCACTTGTTTCCTATGTAAGAATGTTTGAAGTTGGAGGCAAAGGAAAGAGGAAAGAAACTTCTATAACTGGGATTAATGCAAGTTGGAGTAAAATAAAAGGAAGTCAGTCCTAGCAAAAAGGGGGAGCTTAAAAGGAAATCAGTAGTAGATCATATAGAGTTTGTTTTGGCCTGAACTGCAGTATTATTAAGTTCTCGACCTCTGCACAAAAAGAAAGGAAGAAAAAAAGCCTCAGCTGTTATCTAGATGAGAACTCCTCCACTCTTCAAACGCATGTGTGATTCAAGCACATTTTCATCTTTAAGTCTGTTTATTATATTCAGCAGAATAATTTGTGTCATCAAGGGAATAGAACCATCTAACCTGGCTGAGATCAGGGTCACCTCTGCCACGTAGCTGCTGGCTGGCCAGGTAACATCTTGGAAGAAGTAAAGAGCTGCCCCCAGAGGATAAAAAATAAAAAGGCTCAAAGTAGACATAACTGGCATCTGTGATTAGAATTCATGTTTCCAGCTTTTTCGGTAATAGCTGTGTCCCACACCAACAGAAAGGCCTCTGTGGGTGTACCTCTACCTAATAACTTAACAGAGGGTGCAGCCAGACTTCCACACACCCTTTTCCTGTGCTCCTCCCTTTGAGGTGCTTTGCAGCCTGCCTGCCTAGAAATTTCTGCCCAGCAGGCCATAATGAATAATTATTTCACAGTCACTCTCTTGGTATTGTAATTTCTCTCAAGCTCACCAGCTAACCAAAGAAAAACCCACTGGGGATTCCATTTCTATTAATAAACACTTGGTCAGCACAAAAGTTACAGGAATATTTGGAACTAGATTTTTCCTCCTCCCTGGAGACGAGTTTAATTCAAGCCTGTGGCTTTGATAACATTGCCCATCACCCTGGAAGCCGTTTCAGACCTTCCACCTTCTGCCTATCATTGCAGGAAACAAATATTGATTTTCTACTAAGGGAAAAGGCAGTGTACAATGTACATAGGTACACAAGTGAAAAGAGGCATTATTAATTACAATTTTATTTTCTTGGGCATGGGCTGTCATCTGATTTCTGTCTATGTTGAAGGCCAACCCAAGTGGTAGATCGGCACTTCCCACTGAGTTATGGAACCCAAGATTTCCCAGAAACTCTATGGCTGCTGAGGAAGTTTCTCTCATATGAAAAATAATCTACTTGTAACAGGCTCCACTGTCAATGTCACCATTTGTGAATCATCACATCCAGTTCAAAACAGACTAACATTGAATGATTGCTTCCAGAGTCGGAGTGGTTTCACCTGCTAACAGGCAAAAGTACAGCAAAAGGAAATATCTTCATTTAAATTCGTAGCACAGTTGCTAAAGAAGAATATGCAAACCTAATAAAAGAGCAAAAGGAAAGGGAAAGGGCTAGAATGCCTAAAAGAAACAATCAGTGTGCATGGGAATATTTTTCAAACGCAGTGCACAGAACTTTTCAAAGTAGCCATGAGGATCATATGTGAAGTCGGTATAGTCAAGGACTGGGGTCTCCGAGGAAGTCAGCAAAAAGATGAGGCAAAGGGACTCTGGGAAGGAAAGACAGCAGAAAAGGCCCAGCTAGCTGCCTTTTCTAGGTAGAAATTAGGGGGGAAATTGTGCCTAGTAAGGTTGGACCCCACTACTCCCTACACTGACAGAAGAACTTTTCCCTGGTACCTTCCCTCTGGGCAAGCCCAAACCAGGGTGGTCCTGGAAGCAGTCATTCTTTCTGGGTCTGGATGGACAGGGAGAAAGGTCTCTGCCCTGCAATTCTTTAGGTGCCTGGGCTGAACTTCACCCCAACAGTTCACACCCAGTGGTAAAGACAAAACTGGAGGAGTCTGGAGTTTGAAAGACAACTGCTCTGTGTGTTAGAACTTCAGGAGAATGCTCAAGCCTGCTTCTGATAATGGCCTTCAGGGAAAACGCTGTCCCAAACCACTAAGAACTTTCTGTTGAAAGCTACAGGTAAAACTAATGGATAACTGACTTCTTTCACAACTGTGGGAAATAGGAGACCATCCTTGAGTGAGACTGAGGACAGATGCCACCTTCACAAAGAGAATGGCACTTATCCATCTAGAGAGAAAGCAAGTGCAGAGGGTAGGAGGATGGATTCTGGAGCTGTATTGCCTGAATTTGAACACCACTTCCGTCCCTTAACTGTGTCACACTGGGGAAATTTACTTCTCAGGGCCTGAGTTTCCTCCTCTGTAAAATGGCAGTGATAACCTGTTGTGTCCTTCAGAGAGTCACTAGGTAGATTAAATAAGTCAACACTTGTAAAGTGCTTACAGTGGTACCTGGTGCATGTTAAGTCTACATAAGCATGTGCTCTTATGATTTATGAGCAAAAGTGATACATTGGCCTGGTGCGGTGGCTCACGCCTGTAATTCCAGCACTTTGGGAGGCCCAGGCGGGTGGATCACAAGGTCAGGAGTTTGAGACCATCCTGGCTAACACGGTGAAACCCCCTCTCTACTAAAAATACAAAAAATTAGCCAGGCGTGGTGGCACATGCCTGTAGTCCCAGCTACTTGGGAGGCTGAGGCAGGAGAATCTCTTGAACCCGGCAGGCAGAGGTTGCAGTGAGCCAAGATTGCACCATTGCACTCCAGCCTTGCAACAGAGCGAGATGCCATCTCAAAAAAAAAAAAAAAAAAAAGTGATACATTGCCTATACAAGGGGAGTAATCAGATAGGGAATCCTGCGTGGTCTGGTGTCACTCAGTGATTCAGAGCACAGCTGGGCTGTGAAGTCAGAGAGACTAAGGATCAAATCCTGATTCTGATTCTCACTTGCTGTGTGACTTTGAGCAAGTTACTTTGAGACTCTGAACTTAAACTAGAAATTATAGTACCTGCCTCAACGAGTAGTCAAAAGGGTTAAATGGGTAAACTGAGTGAACCATTTAACGTCATGCACAGCAACATATAGTCAGCATGCAATAAATTCCAGTTATTACATTATAAGGACTCATGCTGTCATCCAACAATGATCACTGGGTTCCGTAAGGGCAGACACCTGGTTTCAGAAACCCTAGTGACCTTTACACAAAACTCCACCCACCTTGTATATGAGAGGAGAGGGTAAGGAGGATAGAGAAAACCACCTCCTGTCATTTCCCATAAGTTGCTGATTGAATGTATTTTCTATTCACTGTTGTTCATAGCCACAACAAATATATATGCAGCTGCAACTCCTCAGAACTGTCACCTGAGAGAAAGGAGGGAATTGTGCAGGGGACAAGGGAAGAACTGGGATTTTGAGAATGTCCTCAAAGCACACTCCACACTGTATTTTGCTTATTTAATGTCAGATCTGTACCATTACCTTTCTTTAGACTGACAAGGGAAAGTATATCCAAAGACTGGGAAGAGGCCCAGCACAGCGGCTCACACCTGTAATCCCAGCACTTTTCGAGGCCAAGGTGGGCAGATTACCTGAGATCAGGAGTTTGAGACCAACCTGGCCAACATGGTGAAACCCCGTCTCTACTAAAAATACAAAAATTAGCTGGGCATGGTGGCCAGCACCTATAATCTCAGCTACTTGGGAGGCTGAGGCACAAGAATCACTTGAATCTGGGAGATGGAGTTGCAGTGAGCCAAGATTGTGCCACTGCACTCCAGCCTGGGCGACAGAGTGAGACTGTCTCGAAAAGAAAAAAAAAAAAAAAAAAAGACTGGGGAAGAAAAAGTTTGGTGAGGGAGGGGGAGAAAAAGCTGGGCAGTCAGCCTCAGAGGGTCAAATGCAACAAGGCAAACAAAATACAAGCAAGCTTTCCCCAGAAAGTCCCAAACTTTAGAGAGAAAAAATGAATGAAACCAGGGACCAGTAGAAGCACCACTGAATACCTAAAATCCAAAAGTTAGGGTGTTAAGCAATTAAAGTTTAGTCCTATTTTTTATGCTTCTTCAACCATTACATTCACAAAAGCATTTAAATACCCTTTCAAACTTGTTTAGGAGTAGGAAAGAGGGAAACCATATAACTGTAGTAATGTTGGTGCACAGACCCAGGTTTAAAACATTCCTACACCTGCCCATTCATCTTTAGACTGCAAGGGAAGCACATGATCTTTGAAAACTGAATGGAAATGTTAATTTAGAGTGAATGGAGCTTTCAAGATCCAGACAGCACAAATTCCAAGGGAACAAACTCTTCCTACAGGGGTCACAAATTCTTTTTTGAGATGTTACTACTTGGGAAATTTTCTGTGAGAGGGAAAAATAGTATTTTTATTGGATTTGTGTAAAAATAACAGGACCAAAGAAAGTTCCTCAATTATAAAGAAAGAAGATAGAAATAAACAAATACTTCTGAAAGGTGAATTTGATGAAGTGCTTAATACAGTGGCCAATCAGAAGCTGGATTAGAAAACGTGAAAATTTATGTGATGTTTCCTACTTCCCTAGCAACCACAAAATCAGACCTAAGTCAAAATCCACCATAGGCACCCTGGAGAATTGCTATTAAACCAGTGGTAATGATCGCTTTTTCCTGGACTCCTCTTTCAAGGCTGCCAGGTCCTCTGATGGACCCCTTCCTAGGGTCCCACAGGGTGAGTCTCGGCTTGGGAGAGGGAAGTAACGGATGTGTGTGTAGCTTCGAGTCACTGAGGCACCAGACTGCAAGGTCTTCCAGTCCCCAACCCCCAAGAACACCTCCCATATCGACAGTGCCCACTCCCGCATCAAGGTCTTCTCTCAGCCTAGTGTGACACACCAACTGAGTCCACAGGGAGCTAAGGAGGAAGGGGTGGACCAAGGTCATTACGTGGGAACCATTCCAACAGCCCGCCTGATGGCTACTAGAATAACAGCAATGACACCCTGGCAATGGGCAGGAGCAGCTACACAAGAAGAATGGCAATGGCCCCGCTGCCAGTTTTGCTAGGGAAGGAGATTCACCTCAGAGAATAGGTGCGAATCCTGCCCCCATTCCAAAGACTTTACCCACCGAAGGGAGGCGCTGAGGTGGCAGGCTTGGGGCAGCATGCCGCGCCTGTGGTGCAGAACAGGAATGATTTCTAGCTAGGGACGCAGAAAAAGAAGGATGGGGAGGTGCGACCATTGGTGTTCTTGCCCACCGCCTGCCTCCACCCGCCCAAAAAAAGTGTGATGAGGAATCCAAGTTTCGAATAGATAAACCGGATGTTCCGGGGGAAAAAAAGGAAAAAAAAAGGTTTCTCCAGTCCGCGCGCCTCAGGCGTTAGAAATAGAAGGGGCGCATCCCTGCACCTCTCTAGAAACTCCCGGGAAGGAGAACCTTAGATGCGAGAGCCAGGCCAGCCCCGGGCTCACTCTCGTAAAGGCAGCAAGGGCCTGG
Organism: Homo sapiens; assembly: GCF_000001405.40. Lineage (NCBI taxonomy): Eukaryota > Metazoa > Chordata > Mammalia > Primates > Hominidae > Homo > Homo sapiens. Next base: position 32,426,848 of record NC_000011.10, read on the forward strand.
GGCTGCGCCTCGCTCCGGATCGAGGACTCCCGCCCCTCCTCCACCTGCGGGACTGGACAGTCCCCCAGGCGCGGCCACTCCCCCACCCAATCTCCCAGGGCAGGCGCTTTTCCTTCCTTCATGACCTCACTACCTCCTTCCCTTGACGTCAGCCCCGGGTCCCCGCGCGGAGGGGAGGGAGGATGGGGATGGGTTTGGGGGCAGCCGGTGTCAGGATCCCCGAGCACCAGGGAGGAGGGGGCTATGAGGTCATGCGCGCCCAATCCCGGGCCGCACAGGCCTCGCGCTGCTGCTCCCCGGCCCCCGCCCCAACTTCCAGCCCCGTGCGGGCTGGTGTGCGCCGCAGTTACTAGGCAACCCTATCGCAGACGCGGGCGGCCGGCCAAGTTCACCCAAAGTTGAAGAAAAAATTTGGGGGAGAGAAGGTGGAGCGAGAGGCGAGAAGAGGAAGCACGGAGCGGGGAAAAGCTTGGAAGGGAATGAAGCTGGCCTTGGGCCTCCCGCTCACAGGAAGAAGGTCCCACGCGGGCCAGAGCAGCCTCCCCGCAGGGCCCTGTTGCGACCCGATCTCCGTCCTGCACCCCGGCCGGGGGCCCACCCCAGAGCGTAGCAGGGGCGCTGGGAACGACGTCCACAAAGCGCTGCCACGGGTCGAAACCCTGGAGGGTTGAGGTGGGGAGAAGGCTGTGGCCAAGGCTGTGGCCGAAGGTACGCGCCTTCGAGGTAGTCTGGCCGGTGTGGCCATTGGATGGGTTTGAGGTCTCAGAACCGAGTGGGAGTGGACTCCGTGTTTAATATTTAGTCCCGATGAAGGTAAATTCCTCCCAGTAAAGACCTTCTAAAAATAATAACTTCTCGAGCGCCGCTCCTTCTTCAGCTCGAAAGAGTAATTGTCCTCATTTTTATACAACATAAGAACAACTCAGAGACCAGGGAGATCAGCTTTAATTTCCTCTAAGTAGTAGAGTGGAGTCGAGGCGTCTCGTGCCTCCAAGACCCTGCATGCCCGCAGTCAGGGCTGCCCGGCTGGGGCGTTCCCAAGTCCGCCGGCTCATGCGTCCCCTCCGGGGTCCCAAGGACCCAGACGCAGAGCCCAGCGCCTTCCTACCTGCTGTAGGGCGTCCTCAGCAGCAAAGCCTGGCTGCCGGTGCAGCTGTCGGTGGGGGTGTGGCAGCCATAGACCGGGGGCGGCACCGAGTACTGCTGCTCACCTGCAGAGAGAACCGAAGACAGCTGAGCGAGTGCGCCCCAAGGGCTCGGGGTGCGAGGCTGCGGGCAGGGGTTGGGGGAGACACGAGATCCTGAGCCTGGGGCACTGGGGCCTGGATGAGCGGCGTGCAGAGCGAGGCCGTCCAGAATGCAAGAAGCTAAGCCTCTCACTTTGCATTCCCCTAGCAGTCGCTGCGCTGTGCACCAAAAAGGCCCTCCGGACATTCATAGACTTAGTTGGATGGCGATGTCCCTAACGTACTTGGGATGGAGGGAGACCCAGTCTTGTCCTTTAAATACAGTGCCATTGGGGTAATGATTTCTAAGGTCCTTTTAGATGTCCTCCTTTGCCTAATTTGCTGTGGGTTAGGAATTCCTGGGGGAGAGGAGGATAGCACGGAAGAAGGGGAGAAGGACTCCACTTGGTTCCGCTCGCTTACCCAGCGAGCCCTGCTGGCCCATGGGATCCTCATGCTTGAATGAGTGGTTGGGGAACTGCGCCGCATGGTGCGAGGGCGTGTGACCGTAGCTGGGCGTCCCGTCGAAGGTGACCGTGCTGTAACCTGCGGGAGCGGCGGAGAGAAGCACAGTGTCAGCGGTGCTCTCGCAAGACGGGGCAGTGGGTCTGAACCAGCCACGGGCGGGGGGGGTGTGCGCTGAACCCCGCATTCGGACCCCCAGCGGAGGAGAATCCAGCCCCACAAGCCTCCAGGACTTTCGGCAGGAAGACGGCCCAAGTCCCTGGATGTGACCTTGGGACAGGCTTCTCCATCCTTTTCTGACTAAAACCCCCACCTCGCTTTTTCCCAATTTATTTATGCCGCAGTCTTCTACGGTCTCTGCCGCTTCTGCAGCGAACCCCTGGCAAATTAAGTATAAAACTCGTTGCCTGATCGACAGAGAAGGTTGTTCACCCCCCAAAAATAAACTGCAGCTCTTCCGCAGGAGCAGCGCGGGCAAGCGAAATGAATCTGCTGGGCTAACCCCGCGTTGACTCCGAGCTGTAAATCAGGGGCCCGCGCACCAACTTTCATTAATTACTCGGAGCCAGTTAAATGGCCTGGTCTTAAAAATGGGAAGAGTAATTACCGAGTAATGTTATCTGTCTGGGGCTACCCGACCTGACACCATGACACCCAAGGGAAAGCTGGTGAGGGGGAAAACAAGGGCCCCTTCCAGTTGGGCCTTCAGATGGCGACCCTGCGCTCTCCTCCTCCTCCCCCCTATGGGACCCACCTTGCGCCCAGGGGTCCGACCCTGACCACTGCTGTAGGAGCCAACTTCCTCACTCCCCAGGCTGGACAACCAATTTCCTTTAGAGTGTGCCTGACACTGTATCTCCCTTTCCCTCCATGGTAGTGCTTCGGTCCTTTGCCTCAGTTTCCCCCTAGGGAAATCCTAGCATTCCCCCCCCCCCCCAAAGTGAGAAAAAGAGCGTGGAGCCTCAGTTGGAAAACATAGTCTTTTATAATTTTTGTTATTAAATTGCTTTAAACTTATACCCCACAAGCTTCTGGAAAGCTGTTGCTGCCTCTGGGGAAAAGGATCCTTCGGCTAAAGATACGTCATTGGCCCCGGAACCCAAGGATGGGGTCTCATTCCTCTACAAGTTCCGGAGTCTGTGGCCTGAAGTCCAGACACAATGGCTAAGGAGAGCTGCTCCTATGGGATCCTGGCAGGGCCACCCCAGCAGCCTCAGATCCTCCTGGCCCAGGACTGCCCTGGGTCTCCAAACTTCACAAAATTCTCAGGAGTAAATTGGGTCAAACAGCACCCATTCTCCCACTCTTGCACTATTTGACCAAAGTGCCTCCAAAGACTTAAGCAGGACTCAGCCGATGAGCAGGACCCAGGGCATCGTTACCTCCATTTTCGAAACACACACGGACGCTCATGCACACACACCACCACCCCCCGCCCAGAAAAAAAAAAAAAGAAAAAGAAAAAAAAAAAGCTTCTCTGGGGCAACAGAGGCATGAGCCTGGAGGGTGGTGTGGCAGAGTGCAAGGGAGGGAAGGAGGGGGCAAATCCTAACTCCCGGATAGTACAGGTCCAGGCTTAAGTCTCACACACTGCTCAGCACCACACACTGGGGATTTGAGAAGCCACTAGCTTTTATCATATGACCTCGAGGGCCTCCATTTCTCTCCTGCTAAGTGGGCAAAGATAACCCCCGGCCCCGTTAGCTCTCCTGCATGGGCGAGCACGTTTGGGCTTCCACAGACTTCCTTTTGAAACCTGAGGCCTGGCCTTCTTTGAGGCCTATAGATGAGCTTACAAACGAAATTTGGCTCAGGGCACCCACTATTGCCCGGAGTGAAGGCCGAATTTCTGAAAGGACACTAAAAAGAGAGAGAGAGAAAGAGAGACAGACACAGAGAGAGAGAGAGAGAGGGAGGGAGAGAGAGAGAGAGAGAGAGAGAGAGAGAGAGAGACGAAATAGAAGCTACGAAGAAGTTTTCTCTAGACGAACCCTTCTCCATTCCTGAGCCCAGGAGTAGGCAGGGACCCAGGGCACTGCACAATCCTCAGAGCCCTGCTCCGCAACTGTCCGTGCCCGGCGAGGGCCGTGGGTCCCGAGTCGCGGCACCCACTCTCGAGACGTCCGTCCGCACCCCAGAACTCGGGCCCAAGGATGCCCGTGGCCCGCGAGCCCTCCTAGGCCTCCTCCCAGACCGGACACGCAGACCTCGGCGGGCAAAGACCGGCCTCAAACCCTCTCCTTCAGGTCCCCCCGGGAGGGGCAGTGGTGAAAGCGCCTGCGGAGCGGAGGGAGGTCTCTTTTAATTAGAAGCTTATCGGACACGGGTTTGATTAGAGCGCGCTGTCCCTGGGCCCAGCGCTTGGCCTGGCGCGGAGAGTGCGGGGGCAGGGGCCAGGGGAGGTAAAGCTGCCGGCTGGAAGGAGCAGCGTGTTCAAAGGCTCCTTGTACAGGCCTTGGAGGGAGAGAATCGAGTGGCCAAGGTAGCGCCTTTCCCACGGTTAGTCCCGGCCCGGGAGGGGAGCGCAACCTTGACCGTGCGCTAAGAGGCGAGACGCGCTCTGTGCCCTCCTCCCCCGCCGGCGGCTGCAGAGAAGCCGGGAACCGCCTGGCCTGGCCGGGCCGTGAGAGCTGAGGGGTGAAATGGACAGCAGGCTCAGCCAGGAAGGTGCTCAGAAGGCTGAAAACGATGACTGCAGCTGCACTGTGATTGGGGAAAACCTGTCCCCCAACAAAATACCCTCTCCTGTGTGACCGGAAGAGGGAGCCTTTGGCCCTCGGGCGTCGCAGGCCTCCGCACCTGACCCTAGGGTGGCCTGATGATCCCAGGCCTAATCATGCCTTAGGGTTCTGCGAGCCTGCGGGGCTGCGGGATCAGTGGACTAGCAGGCAACCTCTTTTTTTTTTTTTTTTTTCCGAGACGGAGTTTCGCTCTGTCGCCCAGGCTGCAGTGCAGTGGCGCGATCTCAGCTCACTTCAACCTCAGCCTCCCGGGTTCAAACGATTCTTGTGCCTCAGCCTCCCGAGTAGCTGGGATTATAGGCGCCCGTCACCAAGCCCGGCCAATTTTTTTTTTTGTATTTTCAGTAGAGACAGGGTTTCACCGTGTTGGCCAGGCTGGTCTCAAACTCCTGACCTCAGGTGATCCAACCGCCTCGAGCCACCGCGTCCGGCCCAAGCAAGCTTTTTTCCCCTCCTCCTTAAGCCTTGCATCTAGTCTGGGGCTACTCAAGTCCTCACCCCACATCTGCCCTCACAAACCCGTCAACCCCCACACATGGACTAAGAGTTTGGTGCCCCTCCCGCAGGCCAGAAGAAATCCATCTCAACGGTGGGGCCAAGATCCCTGGAAAAGGAGTAGAAACACCCTAGCATGGTCTGGGTTCAAATCCCACCTCTGCCACCTAATCTCATAGAACCTGGATTTCCTCATCCAAAACAAGGGGCCTCTCCAGGATTAGCTGGTGAGCTTCTTGCAAAGGTTCTCGAGGCCATTGTCTTAATTAATATTCAGAACCCAGTGCCTGACCAAGTAGGCGATTGATGTTTGCTAAATTAATGTTTACAAGATTAGGATGCAAGATATAATATTTAAGAATTTAAAATATGAACATGCTTGTGAAGTTTTGGGCGGTTGTGAGTGGGTACCAACAATTGCCCCTGCCTGTGCACCATGGCTAGACTGCCCTAGGGATCCAGAGACGGCCTTGATTCCTCTCCCCTGGGGTTTGGCCTTGGCGCTCTGATGGCCATTTCCACATTTTTGAGAGTTGATGCCCTTGCCTCTCACAGCCCAAGTCTTGGGCCAGGCCCTGCATTCCTGGGGAAGCAGCAGGAACCCTGGAAATCCAAAGAATAAACCCAGAATCTCGAGGGCCACCCTTGCCCACTCCAGGATAGCAGCCGGAGCGCTTCTCACATCCAAGCTGCCCAATGAGCCTCAAGGGCTGGGTAAGATGGACCCATCTGTTTTCACTGCAAGACAAAACTTAAACCTGGAGATGGTGCTTCCAGGCTATATGACTTGAATCTAGGGCCCTCTCTCCATTGGGCTTTTTCTCCAGGGTGGAGAAGAAGGATACATTCACCTACTAGTCCTGGTCCCCTTTTAACTTTTTCTCCATGGCAGCCACGCCTGTATATTACAGAAGAATCCAGATATTTTCCAGAAGTGTAATGCCTGCTGGCTGCAAAACCCACAGTCCCACCCCCCACGACATGTGATAAGATCCCAGGCACCAGACCTGCCCTGAAAAGGGCTGGACAAGGGACCCAAACGAAGCGACAGAACCCAGGTTTCAAAAATCCCCTAGAAGTACTAAAAAGATAATGGCGTAGTAGTATTTTGTGCCCCAGGGGCATGGATTCGATGGTTTCTCAACCGCCTCCAAATAGCACACATGCAGACAGTGCTCTCGGATTCATTGTTTCTCAGTCACAGATGTTTAGATGGGTTGCCGAGTTCCATATTTAAAGCCCCAAGAGGGTGGTGGGTAGCGCTTCTGCATCTATGGAGTATAACTTCAAGCCGGACCCAATCTCCAGGTTGCCCATCTCAGCTGTCCTCTTATAGACGGGGACACTGAGACCTAGAAACTCCCCAAAAGTAACACCAGCCTGCTAAACAAAGGTGGCGCGATCTGATCAAAGAACACAAGCCTCAGCGACCAGTAAGTTGTCCCAACGCCCCTTGAGTACAAAACACTAATTTCACTAACTAAAAGCATAGAGTGGAGGCAACCCTTGGGTCTGCTTGCGGTTCCTCCACAGGACAGTGATCCCAGATTCTCCCGAAGAAAAGGGCGGTTTCGATTTCTCCAAGGCTTCGCGGGGGCCGGGTGCTCCTGGTTAGGCTAAGGTAGGAGCGGCCTGAAGACGCGCGTTTAGAAGGCGCGGGTGAAGGCGGGCAACAAGGGCAGAGCCCTTCTCCCGAGCCTTGGGCGAAGGTACCTCCTGCAAAAGATACACTCTGCTTCCCACGCATTCCAAAAACATCCCGGTCCCTAGGCCCTCGAGTAATTTTGCTCCAGGAAAAGCATCCGCCATTGTATTAGTAAAGCGTTTACTAAATTACCGAATCAAACCGAACTGGCTTAGGTTCTCAATAGCGTGGAAATCCACTGAAAATAAATGAAGAGGGCAAACTACAGGGGCTCCGCAGGTTCGGGTCCGCGCCGCCCAGGCGAAAGAGAGGTGGGCGGGCATCGGCGCGGGATGAGAAACCAACCTGATACTTATCGTGTGCCGAGTTCCCTCCTTGTATCCTGACTAAGCACAGCGAATAACCCTGTCCTTGTTCTAACCCCAGGTCTTGAAGAAATACTGTCCCAGCTGAGCCCCGCGTTTACAAGATGAAGAGGCGCCCCAGATGCGCTGAAAGAAAGGCCAAAGCTCGTGCCTCCTTCCACTGCCTGCGGTAGAACCTGGTCCCGCATAGCTTGGACTCGGATAAGTCAAGTTCTCTTCCATCCCCAGAACCTGCGTGGCCGCCGCCTGAGCGAAGCCCAGTGAAGATCCACTTCTGTATTACCATACGCGGGAGCTATCCACGGACACGACGCTGTTCCAGAAAGCCATTTAGTTACTGGAGGTGCATGTGCTCATTCTAGTTCTCTACGATACTTAATGTGCACCTAAGTGTGTGCCAACACCGTATTATAAGGGCTGGAGGTGCTCCTGGACATTTTAGCGCTGCGGAGGCAGCACAGCACAGGCGCTCACCCCCGCGCTGGTCCCACTCCGAATCCAGAGTCCAGACGTCTGAAAAGCGCTACGCTTGGTGACAATTTGGCGTTTCCTTAATTAACAAAACTCTCCCCAAGGCAGAGCCAGACACTGCGCCGGTCTCCTGGTTCCACTCCCGTGGGGACTAGCAGTCCCGGAATCTCTCGGACTCTAAGGGGCCCCAGACGCCCTCCCGGCTCTTGCGAACAGTCAGGCTCCTAGCTCTGCCTGGCTTTGGAGGATGTCGGGGGCCAGTGCCTGCGTGCACTCCCACTCTCCGGCCTCCTCCCCAGCCGCCGCTTCCGCTATCCTCACGGCCCTTGGGAAGCAGCTGGGTAAGAGCTGCGGTCAAAAGGGGTAGGAGAGGGGGGTGTCCTAGAGCGGAGAGTCCCTGGCGCCACTGCCCCGCGCGTAGGGGGCGCTCCCCGGCCTACTTACCCTGATTGCGAATAGCGGGCTGGCTCTCGAGGCAGCTGGGCAGGTAGGGCGCGTTAGGAAACATCCTGGCCTGGCCGGATGACGCCTGGCTGGGCGGAGGAGGACCGAAGGGCCCGTAGCGACAGGCTCCGGCTGTGCCAGTGAACTGGCCGGAAAAGTGGACAGTGAAGGCGCTCAGGCACTGCTCCTCGTGCGGCTCCGCGCCGCCCCAGCTCGGCTCCTGTTTGATGAAGGAGTGAGGCGGCGGCGGCGGGGGTGGCGGCGGAGCCGGTGGCGGCGCGGGGCCGCCCAACGACCCGTAAGCCGAAGCGCCCGGGGGCGCAAAGTCCAGCACCGGCGCCCACTGCGCCGCGCCGCTCACAGGCAGGGCACAGCCGCCGCCGCCACCCAGGGAGGGGACGGCGGGCAGCAGCGCGTTCAGGTCCCGCACGTCGGAGCCCATTTGCTGCGGCTCAGACCCGGACGCCCCGCGGCTCCTCCGGCCCTGGAGACGTTCAGCGCTGGCCTCGGCGGCGCCTAACTTGGCCCAGATGCCGCCCGGGTCCCGGACTCCCTGCTGCTCTGGCTGCTGTAGGCACCCAGGCCCGGAGCGGAGCGTGTGCTGAGACGCCGGCTCCGGGACACACGTGGAAGCCGGGTCCTGCAGCAAGAGGAAGTCCAGGATCGCGGCGAGGAGACGGCGGGGCCCGGGCGCCTGGGCTGCCGTCCCGGCTCTGGGTGGGTGGGTGGGTGAATGAGTAGGTGGGAGGGAGGGCGGGAAGTGGGGGAGCGGACAGGCGGTCGGGTTGCGGAGAGCCCCCGGGTGTGGGCGCTGCCTTGAACTCCTTACCCCAGCTGCCTGGCTGCCCTCAGCTTCCCAAAGCTCAAATAAGAGGGGCCGGCGGCGCGGGGAAGAGGAGGAGCCAGGAGGCTCGGCCGCTCCATTCACTCAGCAGCCCAAGCCCGGCCAGGCAGCGCGCGCTGCTCCTTGGGGGCGCCCTCGCAGCTGGGGTGAGGGCGGGTCCGAGGGAGCGTCCCTCTCGGAGACACCCTCCTCTTCAACCCAACACGCGCTCTCAGCTGGCCGGTGTGGCACAACCCTCCCCCCACCTCCCCTTCTTGGCCTTCGCCAGTGTGGGAGCCTCGTCTCACTGGAGAGTCCGTTCAGGTAAGCAGTGAGTCCGGGCAGGGTCGAATGCGGTGGGAGTAGAGATGGGGTTGTTAATCTAAAAGAGTGGTTTGGAGGGAGGGGCAGGTAGGCTCCAAGAGGGCGGGAACTTCAGGAAAGCGCAGAAAGAACTCAGTCAAGCTTCAAAGAAGCGTATACCCTTGCTTTGCACCCTTGAGTCTGGCTCTTGCTTCTAGAACTGTCGGGTAGGGGAGTGGCCATGATCTTGGGGTCACTGGGGAAAGAGGTGGCCCTTTGTGGGTTCCAGAGGTCGGGACTGAAAGCGAACGTCCCTCAGTTGGGTGGCCGGGAGTTGCACCAGTTATAAGCCGGGCGTATTTCGATCGGCTAGTAGTTGTTTACTTGGTGAGGTTTGCGCCAGGCGGAAGGCGGTTGCCGCCTACCTAAAATTGGAGTCAGCAGCACTTAGTTTCCCTTTCCAGTGAGGAATATCTAATTCTTCTACGGTTAAGCCGGGAAAACAGCGGCTAGTTTAGGAGGGAAGAAAACCCTTGGGCAAACGCCCAAAGCCTGCGTATATTCCGGCCGGAGCATCCTGGCGCCCAGTTTGGGGAGGAGGGGTGAAGGGGAGGGTTTGGATACGAAGCCCGGCAGGGAGCGGGTAACTCCTGGAGCCACTCCGCCGAGCACTGCCTGTGGCCCTGGTCGAGGATACCATTCTGGTTGCTCAGTGATTGACCAGGAGGCGGAAGCCAGTTAAGGGGACCAAGGAGTGGAGTAGGGAGAACCTCCATCGGCCCACGGGCGCGAGTTAGTGTTCGAATCTTTGGGAGCTCGAAGAGCTTCGCTAAATCTGACTCCCTTCGTCTAGTCTCTGTTTGGCAGCCCCCGCGCCCCAGAGCAGGTGTTTGGGGCGGGTAGGGGGTGTTTTGGTTTGGTTTTTGGATCTTCTAAAGGAGTCAGTATCTATTGGGAAACAACCCCTAGGCAAGGAGAAGAACCGGGGGCCGGAGCGGAGCGTGTTTCAGAGGTGCGTATAAAATCCCAGGGGCGCCAGGAGGCAGCAGCGACGGCGCAGCGTGGGACGGCCAGGCGCGACGGGAGGGAAGCAACCGGTTGCAGTCCGGCCTCCTGTACCTGGCTGGCCCGGGCTGGGGCTGCAAGCTTTCCAGCCAAACTTATGTGAAGCAAAGTAGTTGCAGTTTGACAAAGAATGGCGTTTCAATAAATGACATAGTAATTTTTTACGCTTTGGTTTTTAGCTTGCATTGCATAAACGTTGTCGCCATTAAATTCTGGCTGCGGACCCGAAGTGTGTGCGGGCCCAGGACTTACTCGAAGGGCGCACTTCTTGGGAATGCGCATCCCGTAGGCGCAGGAGACCCTGAGGGTAAAGATGCGGCACTTGAGCCCTCCGCTTGCCTCCCAGGCCACCTTTGCTGCTTGACTTTGCGTCGTCTCCACTCAGAAGCTTTTAAAATTATTATTAAGAAAAGAAAGATTCTACAAGACACTGCCCCCACGCTCTCTGCTCAGTCCTCTCCCACACGATCTATCCCTAAACCTTTCGCGGGGCTCGCGCGTTTGGTTTTTTGAGTGGAGAAAGGACTCTCGAGACAAAATTCACTGCCAGTTGCCCTAAGAACCCCCCAGATCCCTGTATCTCCCTTCCTTCTCCCCGCCTATTATTTCTACTTGGAAGTCGTTTTTCTTAACTAGGACTCAACTGTGAGGGGCGAGGAGCCCTTTATGAAAAGCCGGGGACTTTCATTTCCAAACGAAAAGATTGAGATTGTTTCTTCTTTTACCATCCTTGGCACTTTTAGCGGGGGGAGAGGAGGTTATCTGAAGGGAGGCTGGCTTGAATGTGAGTCGTTGTGTTTGTGAAACCCAGGTAAGGCAAAGACACGTAAATCTCTGCCAACATTTTTCAAAAATAAGTTTTTGCCCCGGGGTGAGGGATGTAGGGGTGGATAGGAGGAAAGGAGAGCCAAGCAAATGTAGAACTCCTCTCTCCTCTGCCATTTATTTTCTCAGAATCCTTGTGGGGGCGGGGAGGGGAAGAGCACCGGTGCGAACCCCGGGGTGCCCCCTCGCCCGACTTGGACTTCTCCGACTAAAGAGGTGGGAGGAGTTCCCTGCAGCCTGCGGGGCCAAGAAGAAAGTGCTAAGCTGAGGAGCCGCAGTCGGAGGACCCCAGGGACCCGACAGGAAGTCTCCGTACGACCCCAACGGATCCACATGCCCGGAAGCCCAGGCGACACTAAGCCAGCGCTGGGGAACTGACGTACTCCTGCAGTCGCAGGGCGCTCCATGCCTCTCTGTCCTCTTCTTTGTTGTGGGTAACGTTCTCTGCGGGAGACCTGAGGTTTTCCAAGGGGGACATGCCAGCTACACTGGCCTTGGCGCCCTGAGCTAAGCACCAGGACTCACAGCCTAGCACGAAGGCAGGTAGCACCTTCACCCGCCGCGGACGATAGGCGCTCTCCTGTACCTCCTTTAGCTCGCGAGGCCCGCCCTTCGCGAGGTCCCAGAGAAAAGCAGGCTGTGGAAAACTGGGCGCCCCCTTCTTTCACCCACCTTCTTACCCCTGTCAGCGCCGAGATCTGTAGCAGAGGTTCCTGGTCTGAACCACCGATTGGCAAAGAAAGCTGCAGATTAAACTTCTCGTTTTACAGAGAAGGAAACTGAGGCCCAGACAGCCGAAGGAGAGGCAGTCTATGGAGCGCAGCGGTAAAGAGCAAGGGGTTGGTGGCCCCAGAATGGAACCTCAGCTCTGCCAGGTAACCAACAGCTGTGTGACCCTAGACGAGTTCCGCAGTCTCTCTGAGCCTCAGTTTCCTTACTGGTCAAACGGGATAATGGGATACTAGCGCCCACCTCATAGAGTTGTTCTGAGGATTAGATAGGAGAGCAGTGTGGGCCTTTGACTCAATCAACTTTACAGTTTTTGTTACTACTACTGTTTAAGGACAGGAAACAAGTTAGTGGCAACGCCGAGCTGAAACCCGGGTCTCTCAACGTCCAGTTGGAGGTTTTACCCACCACCCCTCTACCTCTTCAGAGCTAATGGGATGCAGAGGCGAGGACAGCCCCTGGAAAACCATGTGGCGTTGATACACTGGCAAAGCGCAGGCATCCCGGCCTCGAAGGTGCATAATTATTGCAATATGAAAAAATCGAGGCTGGGTAGGAGCAGGGCAGTGAGGATTTCTCAACCCTTACTTTCACCCCGGCGCTGTCCACTGCATCTGACAGAGCGCGGAGCTGGGCTGCTACAGCCGCAACCCCAGGGACCAGTGCGCACGCCTGGGCCGCCCTCCGGGAGTCACCCAGCGGCCGCGGACAACTGAATAAACACCCCAAAGCGCTGCGGTCGGTCAAGGGCGGGGACAGCCACACTGCGCGCGGGGCCCGCAGGCCGTAATAAAGAGTGGCTCGACCTCGCTGCTGCCTGTCGCGGGAGAGGAACAAGCTTTCGACTAGCGCCTCTCCCCGGGGCCCGCGCCCCGAGCCCCACGCGCAAGACAGCCCAACAGCTGTTCCTCCCCTCCCCGCCGACTCCAACTCTTCGGAATCTGCCCACTCGGGGCTGCAGGGCAAGTGTTTAGGATGGTTCCCAGCCCCGCGCTGGCGGTGAAAATTTCAACGTCATTCCTTCAATTAAAAAAAGGGGGGGGCAAGGGAGGGGCTTTGTGATAACTACTCCCAGCTTCTTCTGATCATTTCAAAATTAAGTCGATTTTTTTTAACCAGTCCCCACTTACTGTCCTAACTCTCCTCGCTGACCCTATCTGGGAGCCCGGAACCGTTAGGTACTGCCGAATGCGGTGCAAAATTTCCCCCTCTCCCCCAGTTCGCAGTGCCTGGAGCCGCTGGGGTTACTCGTCTGTTCTGATGCCACCGCGAGATGGTCCCCGAGCTCCCCGAGAGTCCTCAGTGAAAGGATTCCGCGGCACTGCCTCTATTATTATACCGTAAATCTTTTTAAATTCTGGAACTAATTATATAGAGGATATGTCTCAATTTGTTCTGCATTAATGCCACAGTGGGGATGGAGGCCAGGCCGTGGCCAGAGCAGATACGTAGGCCCATGAAATTGATGAACTGAGAGTTGCTTCCAGTCCTGAGCGCACCATCTGGAATTCCAGTCTGAGGTTACAATTAGAACTCCTGACCCCAGATTCAACTTTGCAAACAACAGGGGAAAAAAATGGGGAAAAGAAAAACCACGAGAGAGGGAAAAAAAATTATTCTGCACCTGTAAAAAAAAAAAAAAAAAAAAAAAAAAAAAAAAAGTCACACAATCTTAAAATCTTTCCGTCTTAGACAATTCTTTCCAAGTATTTCTTTTGTGTTTTTTAACCTATAAAAGATAATGGAATGTTTTATAGACTGGATTTTATCTCATCCCCTTTCCCTCTCCCAACTGCCCTCAGTTTAATAGTTGTCAGTTTTACCTCAGTGTTGAATTTAATTATATAGGAACAAAATATTCCTCAGTAAATTTGCTTGCTAAATATTCTGTCACATTTACTTCCCCTTTGAGAAATGGCTTAATTATAGAAATCTACCTGCATCTAGGAATTTTTTTTCCCTTTTCTTTTTTGACCGCCATTCCAGCTTAATCGTAAGCAGAGATTTTATTTGTGCAGTAATTTTATTTGTGTTCTAAATTCGTTTAGCCAATTTCTTCCTTCTTTCTTTAGTAACACCCTGCTTTATTTTCCTCTCACTTTGACCCCCTGAAGAAAACGAAGGACCAAGCAGTACTGGAGAATCTGTTAAATTTATTAGCATAAATGCTTAGACAAAACGAGATATAAATCATTCAGATGTATTAAGCCATAAAGTATCCCAATGAAGTCAGTCCCTTGCCAGGGTCCTGGTGTATAAATGTTCATATAAAACAAGGTATCAGTATTATCTTTCAAACTGAATATATGTTGTAAAAATATCCAAGGTTGAGTTAGGAATATGGGGGGAGGGTGCAGCAGGGCAGGAAGGGGATATTCTTTAGACCAGTTTGTTAACATAGTGGTGGCTCAGAAAGTATGGTGGAAAGGAAAAATTTCAACCGTTTACATTTGGAGTCTTCTTAGATAATATGTTTTTAAATAACGGTATGCAGGATATATTTGAGAGCAAAGGAATAAGAGAAAAAAAAGATGACTAGAGGGAGAAAGGCATTGATTTCTGTAGAATGCATTTGTCCCCCAAAGATCAGTTTAGCTTCACAAAAATCCACCCAGAGGAGGCACTGGCTCTTCACACAGATAACGGATTATCCAGTAGAGAAGAGCTACCTGGGCCTTCGTCTGGCAACTGGGATATGCAGCCGCTGGTCAGCAGAGGGATGTGTATTCATTAGCGGTGGAAGACGAGGAAAGCGCCCGGGAGTGAGGAAGAGGAATGGACAGAATTCCTGGCAGAAGCTTACCAAGACAAAAATCAGACACAATGTTTAAGCAGCAATTGCTCGTGAAGTTCATAACCATGGCTCTCTGTAAATCTTGGCAAATTGGGACATTCTTTGCTTTTTGGAAATGATTGTTTTCAAGACTTTTTTTAAAAAATCAAGTTGTCCACCAGAAAAATGGAATAGCTCACCTTCCCCATCTTTTTTTTAAAGCAGGGATATCCTCATCCTTTCCGTGCCATTCATTCTTTCATTCATTCACTCACCGTGCAACAAAGATTGTTGGGCATTGTAGCAGCAAGTAGGAGCACAGGGTAATGACAGGCTCACCCCGCTCTCACAGTTTATATTCCAGTAGGTATGACAGATACATTACAAGGAAACAATGAGATATTTTCATATAGTAGTAATTGCTATAAAAGAACAAGGAGATCTGTAAGACTAGAGAATGACTAAAGGTGAGATGGGAATGAGGAGCAACAGATAGCCCTCACTTCCTTTTGCTTTCTGCCCACACTACCACATTTTAGTGTGTTTAGGAAGTATTCCACCTTACAGTCCAGATGCAGGAAGGGTTTGAAGGATTTGGAATGGTTGGTCTGGATAAATCTCTGCCTACAAAACTGGACTTTATGAAAGCGGCAGGGCAGCTGTTTATATAGCTGGCTTAAAATCATCACCACTAGCTGAGTGACTCTGAAAGCTATTTAACCCCTGAGAAATTCAGTTTTCTTCTCTTCAAGATAAAAAATAACAGCAAGTTATGAGGACTACATAAGGTAAGGCATGTAAATTTCTTAGCCTTTAGGAAGCACTCAATACATGTTGGCTATTATCTATATAGACATAAATTCTATGCTTTGCTTCCAATTAATTGATAAGTTATAGGCTTAGTATTGATATTGGTGTGAATTCAGAAAAGGTGGAAGTCTTTGTTCTTGTTGGATCAGGGTGAAGAGCAGGAAGAGAAACCTTTGCTGAATCTGACCTTAAACAAGGTTGTTGCCATCTAGAAGGAAATTTAAATGATTTTGCCCTACACCAGGACCCTAAAACAGGAAATATGTGGCTTTTGCCTCAAAATCAAGCTTAGGTTCCTTCTTTTAGTACAGAAGTCTATAGGTTAACAACCTGAAAATCTTAGAATTGCATTGAAAATCTTAGAATTGCATTGTTCCTTAGAGCCACATTTCAGGTTTGCAGCCTTGTCCAGGATAAAGAATTCTGGGGTAGGTATAAAAACACCTGAACTCAAATCCTATCTCTATCAGTTACTGTGATCTTAGGGAAATAGCTTCAGCTCTCAGTTTTTCAGTAGCTTTATGTGTAAAATGGAGATTATATAAAATGAAATAAAGCATCCATAGGTGATTTGAAAACTCTGAAGTGTCAGACAGTGCAGAAGACCATCATAACATTGTTACATGTGAACATGTGGAAAGGAATATGTCTATTCAGAACACTGGGGCACATTGCTTGCTCTCATGGTTCTTCATTTTTAAGTGAGTATAGTACCTTTCATGCAGGGCTATTGTGATAAGTAAGTGAGATCATATATATAAACTTTCAAAACAATGCATAGCATAGAATGTGTGCTATGTAAGCATCACTGCTACGGTTATTGTTACTGTTCTCTGGCCATCTTGTTGGGCCAAGTGTTGAACCTTATAATTTTCACATAGAGAGCTTCTTACTGTAGAAGTTTATAATAGTATAGAGAGCAAGGCTTTGGGATCAGATGACTGGGGTTTAAAGCCTCCTCGCTAGTTATTTTCTGTATGGCTTTGGGTGGCTTCCTTATTTTCTCTGAGCTTTAATTTTCATAACCTTAAAACAGGGCTAATGATACCATCACCTCACAGGGTTGTTTTGAGAACAAATTAAAACACCATATGTAAATTGCTTTCGTGGCACCTGGCATGTAGTAAGAAATCAATAACTGGTAGTTATTAAACCTACAATTCTTCTAATCAGACAATATTAGCTATGACTTAAAACAGGTGAGCCTGCAAGAGCTTGAATTACAGCATGATTCTGAACAAACACAGAAAGTAATTTCTATCTTCTTTTAAACTCACCTGTACTACACTGAAATCTCACTCTTTCACATATGAAAGACTTTGCAACCAAGGCACTGACAAGGATTTCCTTTTTGACTATGAACGCTTTAGGTTAAAATTCTGAATCTCATTTATTTTTAATGGGTTTCTTTGCAAAATACCCAGCGTATGTCAAGGACATTGGTAATCCCATGTTCTTCAAAATAAGCAGGAAATTGATTTCAGCCAATGGGGAGAAAAAGTAGTTTGATCCTCTTCCTGGAGTTACCACATAGCATTTATTAATAGCTCTGTAAACGGTCTGGAACACAGTATCAGCTTGCTGTTCAAAATATGACAAAAGTTTATGCAAAGTTGCTTAGGAAAAACAAGATCTAGTCATTAGAAATCTGACACTGGTCAATAGTACATTTATTCCAAGTCTCCATAAATCACAAACAAATGAAACTTCTATTGTGATCACTGTTCCAGATCTAAAAGACCCTCCCCCTTACTTTGGTAGAAATTAAATACATTTTAGAAAGCCCAATATTTTTTCCTCTACAAATAGAGGCTAATTACAAAATTTCCCAAGAAATAATAAATATTAAACTATAATCAACAGATGTGACACAAGATGAATAAGAAGCACATAACTTAGCTTTCATTCCTTATGTAGGGCGCATGTTTATCTTTAATTATCCCCAACCTGGGAATGGCATAAATGTTATCTGTTTTATTTATTATTTGTATCTAGAGTGACATCACATTTTGATTTTGCCCAGGACAGTCTCAGCTTAAGCTGTTGTCCCAGCTTAATTATTAATTACTCTCCTTTTACTCCAAAGTATTCTACTTTTGATGGTAAATAAGGACTTCACTTGCTTAAAATTTTATTTTATTAAAAAAATGATAGATTTAAGAAAGCCATTGGAACAAGGGTAAAAGATAGGCTAAATGGGGCTAATGAGAAGAAAAAAATTGAATTAATATTAGAATCAAAGGATGCAGATAGTTACTATAATTGAGCATAATGCAATTCTGAACTTCCTGACAGCCAAGTAAGAAAGGGGAAAATAGCACTAGTTACCTATCTTTCGTGATGCAATAAAGGGAAGAAACCTAGTTTTTCAGAAGAGATGAATTTTTTCTAGTACTAAACTCAAAGAGGAACTTACCATACTAGCCTTTCTATAAGAGTTATCAGGTAACGGTTAGCGACTTCAAAAATAATGTTTCAAAAGATGCAACGACATTTTCTGGTAGTTTATTTCAACCCAATGTCCACAGCATTAAAATTATGGTTCTGTAAACTGTAAGAGGAGAGAGGCAATAATATAGTCCCTTTTTGTAGTTTTCTGGAGGATCTGACCTGATCAAATCAACCTGATTTGTTAATTTTTAGAATGTGCCTAATGGGTTTTTTTTTATTTTTATTTTTTATTTTTTTTGAGGCAGAATCTTGCTCTGTCACCCAGGTTGGAGTGCAGTGACCCCATCTCGGCTCACTACAACCTCCGCTACCCGAGTTCAAGCGATTCTCTTGCCTCAGCCTCCCAAGTAGCGGGGATTACAGGCACCCACCACCCCGCCTGGCTAGTTTTTGTATTTTTAATAGAGACAGGGTTTCACCATGTTGGTCAGGCTGGTCTTAAACTCCTGACTTCAGGTGATCCACCCGCCTTGGCCTCCCAAAGTCTGGGATTACAGCCGTGAGCCACCACGCCCGACCCCGTAATTTTTTAAAAGCATCTTTTATTCGTTAATCATCAGTTAACTTGAACCCGAATCCAAACGCTGCGAAAGACCTGACCATTGTTCTCCAGAATCTGCGAACGATTTGGTGAGAGCTCTAGGGCAGTGGTTGTTCTCAACTGAGATGATTTGCAACCCAGCAGACGTCTGGCAATGTCTAGAGATATTTTTTGTCACGACTTACAGTAAGACAGGATCACTAGATGCACAGTCCTGGTATCTAGTGAGTAGAGGCCAGGGATGCTGTTAAACATTCTATAATGCACAGGACAGACCCCCCAGAACAAAGAATTATCCAGCCTAAAATGTCAATAGTGCCGAGACTGAGAAACTGTGCCCCAGGGTACTGTTAGAAGAAGGGATGGAGGGCCAGGCGCGGTGGCTCACGCCTGTAATCGCAGCACTGTGGGAGGTCAGGCGGGCGGATCACGAGGTCAGGAGATCAAGACCATCCTGATTAACACGGTGAAACCCCGTCTCTACTAAAAAATACAAAAAATTAGCCGGGAGTGGTGGCGGGCGCCTGTAGTCCTAGCTGCTTGGGAGGCTGAGGCAGGAGAATGGCGTGAACCCAGCAGGCGGAGCTTGCAGTGAGCTGAGATCGCGCCACTGCACTCCAGCCTGGGCAACAGAGTGAGGATCTGTCTCTAAATAAATATATAAATAAAAGAAGGGATGGAGACATAGTTTTTAGCTGGAGTCAAAAGAAAAAATCCTCATGGGGAAGGGGAGCTTGGGCTAGATTCCTTCATCCCACCCAGTGGAGCTGGAGGATGTCTCTCCCCAAGCTCAGCAAATGTCAGGAAAAAAATACAAGAAGAGGCAATCATGTGGAAATGCAGTCCACAAAGGGAATTGTGGATAAACTCATTTAACCAGAAAGGAGGAAGAATCCATGTAGAGCAATAAGAAAGAAAGCCAGATAGCACAGCACATGCAAATTTAGGGCAAAGAGTTTCTGTTTTGATGTTATGCTCCAATATCACTAAATATTGCTGGTATTTTTTAAAGCCACACAAATCAAGGGCAGCATAAACTTTTATGTTCCCAGAGTTCATCTTTGGAATACTGGCTTATAGTGTATATGTGGATATGCACATATTTTGCTTCCTCTCCTCCACATCGTTTTTTACCACTTACATAATAGGGATTCCTTGGAACTCAGTTTTATATCACATTAAATTTAAAAATGGGTGCCTACTCAAAAAGACAACCTATCAAGGCACAGAAAATTCTGAACCACTGCTGTAATGAATACATCATTGGAATCTCCATTAAGAAATATTATTCTGACCTAGTTCTCTGTGTCATGCTGCAGATTGTCCTTCTCTTGACTCATGGAATGCTTTGTGAGAAAGAACTACAAAGCCGGGTCCCTCGATATTAGCCATCTCACCCTTCAAAGTTCAGCCAGGAGTGGGACAAAACCCTCGTCACCATGTTGACATGTTTACTTCTGGCGCAGGAAAATACTGCTGTTGCCCAATTTGGTTTCCCAGTCCATTCACTTGCCTGGAGACATATATTTTATGCTTTCCTTTGATGATTTACAAATAAATTAACGTGATTCACTAAGGTCTGCCAGCATATATGCGTTACTGGAGAAATCTGAGATGTTGAAAAAGTATTTTAATTTATTGTATCCCAATACTTTCTTAAGAAAGTTTCTTAAGAACCAAATAAATATCATCAGCTAGTTTATATACCTGACATATTTATTACGGTATTCCCGCTGAGCACTTCCCATTGTCATGTGTTCTCACACATTGTTTTCACAAATTGTGTTTTGAAAGAAGTCAAGGGAAATTCAGGCCAGAGAAGCAAGATGTTATCTTTTGGAAAGGATGAGCCCACTCTAATGGAAGAGGATAATCCATTCAGAGGTTTGTGAGGCCAATATCCCCCAGTGGGTGTGATAAATCCACAGCGTCTGAATCCAGAATTTTGCACTGGGACCTTGAAGTTGCATGAACAATTTAGTCATGTTCCAAATAAACACAGTGTATCATTATTATTATTGGATAAACATGAACATCTGTTAGGTCAAGTTTGCCCTATTTCCTTAAAGGCAACTGGAGTCCCTGAACACAGTTCTCATATGTCTATCACAAATGGATCTGAGATGGGTGTATAATGCCAAAGCGGCTCCTTGACCATCTCTGTGTTTGGAAACCAGATTTTAAAAAGAAAAAAAAAAGTCACCTGCTCATCTGAGGTGGGTCACATGCCTAGAGAGCACCATAGAGACTGCAGTTCCCTTCTGAATCCCATCAACAGAGCTACTGTCAAAAGATGAAAATATTTGAATCAGCTGGCCTTCTTCATTTTTAAAGCAATGTTGTACATATTTTAAGCAATTATTTGGGGCGAGAGGACTCTAATTGACACCATTCTCTTGTCCTAACTCAGCCTGGCACCTTTCCAGCTGTCACTCAGTGGGCACAGGATATGGAGGATGATTTCTCACCAGGCTGAATCAGCAGGTTGCAGCAGGTTACAACTGCAAGGGACTTTACAAAGCTTCTAATCCTACCCCTCATTTTTCAGATAAGACATTATTGATACGATCTGCCCAAGATCATGCACTTAGTTAGTGGCAGAGCTTTACCCAAGGCCAGGAAATAAAATCTGTCTTTCTGGAACAGCATTCATTGGTTTGCACTTACCGAGTACCTTTTACAGGCCCAGTAAGTAAAACAGGATGCACAAACCTGGCTCTCAACTTGCTTACAGTCTGGCTGTGCTTCAGGACTTGGTCATCATTGAAGCAGGATGTGCAAGTACTTGTAAGAAGTATCCTTGTGGCCAGGTGCAGTGGCTCACACCTGTAATCCCAGCACTTTAGGAGGCCAAGGTGGGCAGATCACGAGGTCAGGAGTTCGAGACCAGCCTTGCCAACATGGTGAAACCTGTCTCTACTAAAAATACAAAAATTAGCCGGGCGTGGTGGTGGGCGCCTGTAATCCCAGCTACTTGTGAGGCTGAGGCAGGAGAATCGCTTGAAACTGGAAGGTGGAGGTTGCAGTGAGCTGAGATCAGGCCACTGAACTCCAGCCTGAGCAACAAGAACGAAACTCTGTCTCAAAAAAAAAAGAAGTATCCTTGTAACAACCCTCACTTTTACCAGATCCAAGAATTCTCTCCAGTACCTCTCTATGTTATACAGGGATACTGAAGACAATTTCATTAAGTTTTACAGAGAGGCCCCTGGTGAGTATGTAAATAATTAGCTCATCACTATATTGTGAAAATTAGGAAAGCATCCTCATACTTCACAGAGGAGGACCTGACATATAAAGATACCTAAAGTACTGACAGCATCTTTTTGTCTGAATTAAGTCAATGATGCCTCATACAGGTTTAGCAACAAGGATACCCGAAGGGGGAGCTCTTCTGGTTTGGAACTGAATTGAAGGGACTGGTTGACCAAACCGCAAAGCACATGTCTTTTAGACCTGCATTTAGTAGCACAGTCAAAGGAAGATAACCAGAGGGCCACACAGAAATTGTTAATCTTCTTTACCCTGTATTATTTGCCTATTTGATGCTGATGAAATCCTTAGAGCATTGGGGTGGGGGTGAGTGCGAGGGGGAGTGAGTATTATGTAATGTGCAAACATGCAGACATTTACCAAAGATCAAGTTCCAAGATGTAAAAATCAAACAAAAATCTCTCCTAACAACAACAAAAAAATCTCCTAATTTGACTCCCAAAAGACCTGAAAAGCATTTCAAATGTGTCCAGTAAGGCATTAAAAATAATTATCCCAAAGAGGAATCACTCCCTTGGTTGTTTCGATGTCTTTTTGTCTACAAACAAATTTTCTAAACCACTGCCTTGGCTTCCTTTAAAAGGTCTCTAGAACAAAAGTACTTTGGGTGACCCCAGGATTACTGAGCAACAGTAACCAAGGATGTAGATGAGGCTGAAAAAGATAAAAACAGATGATGCCCTTTTTGATGTCAACTCTGAAATATTATATAATTAAAACAGAATAAAATGCAAAAGTTTAGAAACAAAGAAATAATCCTATCAAGAAAATTAGCATGCTCATTTAAGAGAACGTTAAGATTTTTTTTAAAGCATCCTATAAAATCACTCTTATGCTGCCCAGATGGCTCTGGGGGGGTGACTTTTTTATGTAATTAAAATTCGCTGTCCTCCCCTTTTCCTCCTCCTTCCCTCCTCCTCCTTCTCTTTTTTCTTCCGTAATAATAGTTATTATTATTAGCCATCAAGAATCGAGTGCCTAGGCTCTCTCGTACATTCCCTCCACTTCTCACAGCAACCATTTCAGTTAGAGTTTGTTTGCCATTTCCTAGATGAGAAAACAGAGGCTGGGAGGTTTGGGTTTCCCATGGTTAGCCATGTAGAATGCGGGGTAGCCAGAGTAGCAGTCTTCCGTTTGGAGGACCGAGCATCAGAATTCCAGAAGGAAGTGAGGTGGAGATAAGGAAACGGGGAACCCCTTTGGCACCAGCACTTGGGATGGCTTATGCTCAGAGTCAAACCTACTGTGCGGTCCAATTATGCCAATGTCCACAGCCCTAAGTACAATTAAATTGCATTGCCACAGAATCTGTTTTCACCGTACAATGTTAACTAAAGTCAGATCCACCTACTTATTGTTTGTATCAAATTCTAGCTTACCTCCTTCATACGGTAGCTGTGCTGTGTCCCTGAAATTAATTTTTTTTTTTTGTTAAATACAGTGAACAGCAGTGCCAGTGCACTGTGGGGGAGTTACAAAAAGAATTTGCTATTTCCAGGAATCCCAAGGTGAAGTTTTTTTTCTTCAGTATCATTCTTCCCTCTCCCCCTCTCCAAACTTGAATTTTCATCTGCCAGGGTTTAGTAGAGCAGGGGTGGAATGCATGAGCACACCAATATTGTATCTCAATAAAGCAAGAGCCAGCTCTACTGAACCATTCACTTGGATTTTTAACATGGTAGCTCTCAGAAGATCTCAGAGCTAAGCTGTTTCTGATGGTCACAGGGAGAAGAAAATGCAGAGGTTTCCGCATTAATAAAACCCAGAGGCTCATAAGTAGCACTGAATTAAGGGAGCCAGACTGTGTGTTGCTGAAGTCTTCATCCTTTCTCTCTGTGCTCTTAACATGAATCCTGTCTCTGCCCTTCCCTTTCACAGTGATATCTCATTTACTGAGCTGGGCCTTCTCACTCTCACCTCTCCCTTCTACACCTTCCATCTCACAAGGAATCCTGAAGGATTAAGCTAACAGAATATTGCTAAGAAAAAAGGAAAATGGCTTCACAGGGGAAAATTGGCACCTTCCACATTCGTTAAAAGACAGAACTCCATCAAGGTTGATTTTCTGGGCTTCTCGTATAGTTAGACAGAGGGGTTAGATACCCCAGGCAGGGAGTCAGATGCTCAAAGCTGAAACAGTTCTGCCTGTTTGAGAACCTCAGGAAGAGAGCCAGAGATACTCAGTCAGGTATTTGGGATCACATCTCTTCTATGAAATGTGCCTTGGTTCCAGTTACTCCTTTATCTCTGGCAACAAGCACCAGGGTCATGAACTAAGGACTGTGGGTGGAACTTGAAGCCAGGGCCAGAAGATGCCCCACCCTGCCTGTCAGGGTTTAACCCAAAAAAGCAACAGCAGTGTTCCTTACCCAGGACACCCTTCGAGGGTTAGAGGCAGGCAGCTTGTCACTTGGTCCAGCTTTCTTCTGCACCCTTTCAGGATACATAAATGAAACTTTGGGGCTTCCTTTGGGCCATTTGGCCTGTTTGTGCAGCAGGCAGCCATTGGCTAGCAGCGGCAGGAAGTTACTAATGATAAAGAGTAACGACCCTTTATAGATGCTTTTTAAGTGACTGGCACCGTGTTACATGTTTTCTTAGATTATCTCATTTGATCCTCACAAAAATCCTGGGTGAAAAGTCACTTTTAAATCTTCATTGAATATATGAGACGTGGAGAGCTTGTCATTTGTCCAAAGTCCCACAGCTAAAATATGGCAGAGCTGGCCGGCCGCGTTGGCTCACGCCTGTAATTCCAGCACTTTGGGAGGCTGAGGTGGGCGGATCACGAGGTCAGGAGATCGAAACCATCCTGGCCAACATGGTGAAACCCTGTCTCTGCTAAAAATACAAAAATTAGCTGGGTGTGGTGGCGCATGCCTGTGGTCCCAGCTACTTGGGAGGCTGAGGCACGAGAATCGCTTGAACCCAGGAGGCAGAGGTTGCAGTGAGCCAAGATCACGCCACTGCGTGATCACGCCACTCCAGCCTGGTGACAGAGGGAGACTGTGTCTCAAAAAAAAAAAAAAAAGAAAAGAAAAGAAAAGAAAATGGCAGAGCTCAGGTTGAAGTGATTCTAAAGCCTTTGATGCTAACTGCTCTAGCGTCTTAGAGGACTGAGTAAAACCATTCCCTGTCATCCAGGTACCATTGTTAGTCAAGCTCCTGTGGAAACACATTCAAATGGGGCAATCGAGGAACACTTAATGAACAGTCTGTTTTTTTGTTTGTTTGGTTGGTTGGTTGTTTTTTGAGAGAGAGTCTCACTATGTTGCCCAGGCTGGAGTGTAGTGGTACAACCTCCGCCTCCCAGGTTCAAGTGATTCTCCTGCCTCAGCCTCTCAAGTGGCTGTGACTACAGGTATACACCACCATGCCCAGCTAATTTTTATATTTTCAGTAGAGACAAGGTTTCACCATGGAGGCCAGGCTGTAATGAAGGGTCTATTTTAAAAGGTGTGGGCAGGGTTAAGGGAAATGAGTGAGGGGTAGTGAAGTCCCCTGGCTCTAGACACTGCAGGGAGTCTGTTACCATCCCTGTGGCTGAGAGAGGAGGGAAGAGGAGTGAGTGGTTCTAGAACCCAGACAGAGAGGAACTGGAGAGAGTGGAGAAGCCTACGGTACAGAAAGGCTGAACTTCTGAAAGGAACATTGTTAACTTGAGCTGACTTAGCAGGGAAGGAGCCAAGGAACACAGAGCCTGACCTCATTCTTCTTTCTCCCTCCAGGCTCTGTCACTATTTCCCATTGGCCAAACGCTACTGGAAGTGGAAGGCTAAGAAGCCCGATGGTGCAATCCATACACGTCAGCCTCTGGGGCCAGAGTGGGATGAAAAAAGGTGGGGAGGCCCTTGAGGGAGCTTTGTATATTTGAAAATAACTTTATTCTAGCCTTTTCTTGACTGATATTTAGCTGTTTATATGATTATACATTGAACATAATTTTTTCTCAGACTTTGGAGACATTGTTCTTTGCTGTTAACTTCTAGCATTGCTTTTGAGAAATCCAAATCCATTATGAGTCTTGAACCAATATGTACAACTAGGGTTTTCTCTCTAGAAGTTGATAGGATATTCTCTTCATGGGTTCACTAAACTGCCCAATTCAGTTCCCAATAATCCTTGTTTAAAAAAAAAGAATCGGGCTGGGCGCGGTGGCTCATGCCTGTAATCCCAGCACTTTGGGAGGCCGAGGAGGGTGGATCATAAGGTCAGGAGATCGAGACACGGTGAAACCCCGTCTCTACTGAAAATACAAAAAAAAATCAGCCGGGTGTGGTGGCAGGTGCGTAGTCCCAGCTAATCCAGAGGCTGAGGCAGGAGAATGGTGTGAACCCAGGAGTGGAGGTTGCAGTGAGCCGAGATCGTGCCACTGCACTCCAACCTGGGGGACAGAGCAAGATTCCATCTCAAAACAAAAAAAAGAATAAATCTATTTAGTAAATGATCCCAACAAATTTTAGAATGGTAATTTACAAGGACAGAAAAACGTATCACTTATTGATATTTGAAAAAATCACTTTTCTCTTTAAGCAGCATTTAGAACACAACCTAATATAGGTCTTGAATTGTAAATTCTGTTGTAAAAGGCATTCTTTGGGCAAATAATGTTAACAATGGGGAGAAAACAATTCATGATTGTGGGAGCATCCAGAATTATTTTCTCCTCAGCATCTAAAATGTCTTAGTTATCCTGTCATCACATGAAATTGCTACTGGGGTTCCTGAACACAGGCCCAGGTCAACACTAAACAACACGTGTCTCTAGAGCAACAGACCCTTCAAAAAGCAGACCTACCAGACATTTCTCTTAGAAAAATAATGTATTTTTTTTGTACTGAGCTTACTATTTTATGTAAATATATTTTATCTGGAAAGAGAATGTGCCCTGTTATAGGAACCCACCATTCAGTATGTCATGGCCCTGACACAGAACAATTGGTGACAGAAACTCTTTTGTGAGTTTTAGGCTCATGATGGAGCCCGAGTTATATGGCAGGAGATGATTTCCACGGTCTGTGAACACTGAAGATGAGACTGGCTTGGGGCCACGTGCCAAACTGCACAGCCAGTAAGACCTGCTTCCATCGACCCACAGCAGCTCTGACTTTTTTTTTTTAACAATAGAGAAGAAACTACCACAGGGAAGAGAGAGAACAATGGCATTTTGACAAATGGAACAAAGATAGAGTGTGACTGACAATTCAGGTCAGAAGGAAAATTAAAGCACAGGAAGACTGATGTTGGTCGGCCTCCTTGCCAAGAAGCAAAAACTCAGGGGGAGGCATCCAGCCACATGCGAACTGGCTCAACACTGGCCATTTTGTTTGAGCAATTTTGTTGGATGTTTTCTACAAAAGAGCACTTTTTCTCGGACTTCAAACATTCTTATATGCAGGATCGACACCACACACTGCCATCATCCCCTGGAGTAGTATCCTTGAGACCTGAGGAGGGGAAAACTGGAGGGACGTTGTGGGACTCCATTGAGAAATGTGGTCCTTTGTCTCCCTGGAGATCTTTGAGGACGGTTCAGATAAAGTTGCTGCCAGTGGAAGCAGCTAGGCTCAGAAACCTCCAGTTGCCCTTTCTAGACTTGTAATCCTCTGAAAAATGGAAATTAGGAAGCGTTCATTTATGACCTTGAAAAAAATCGTTTACAAAAGTATATTATATCACTAAAATGAGCTGGAAAAAGGGTTTATGTGAAAGTTCATGTGAGAAACACAGCTATTAGCACGCATGCCATTCCCCACCTTGACCTCAGCAGGAATGTGTAAATTGTAACATATGGAATGTAAGCCCTGTCGAGATGTTTCATAAATCTGCCTGGCAATGAGCATC
This sequence comes from Homo sapiens, assembly GCF_000001405.40. Lineage (NCBI taxonomy): Eukaryota > Metazoa > Chordata > Mammalia > Primates > Hominidae > Homo > Homo sapiens. Next base: position 32,454,137 of record NC_000011.10, read on the forward strand.
ACAAGGCCCTGCATGAGAACAGGCCCCAGAAATGGAGAGACAGTGAGTATTGTGCCTGACAACTTCTAATTTTAATAAGTCCAGACTGACGATTGAAAATTTCCACATAATGTTCTTTAATAATATTGATTATTTCCTGACAAAGGGGCACTTTTTCATGGAACTCAACCCAGGTAATCCATCCATCCATCCATCCATCCATCCATCCATTCAAGATATATCTACTGAAGGCCTACAATATTGCAGGTGGCATGCTGGGCACTGCAGATACAATGGAGGACAGGAGGGATATTGTGTTGCCCCTGTAGGGTTTACTATATGTAGGAAAACAGATATGAAACAAATAATAGAGTTTGAGACCAGCCTGGCCAACATGGTGAAACCCTGTCTCTACTAAAAATACAAAAATTAGCTGAGCGTGGTGGACGGGCACCTGTAATCCCAGATACTCGGGAGGCTGAGGCAGGGGAATCACTTGAACCCGGGAGGCAGAGTTTGCAGTGAGCCAGGATTGCACCATTGCACTCTAGCCTGGGCGACAAGAACTAAACTCTGTCTTCCAAAAAATAATGATAATAATTTTATAATTGCAATTTTGATCAATGCTGTAAAGGAAAATAGTAGCTTCTACTGATAGTAGCACTCTGCCAAAGTTTCTACATGCATGATCTCATTTAATTCTCATAACAATTCTCTGCAGTAGGTACTACCAATAGCTCCATTTTAGACATGAATAGAGACATGGAGGTTTACATGTATCACCCAAGGTCACGCAGCTCTGGAGTGGTGGAGTTAGAATACAAAGTCAGTCTGAGTCCCCATCCCAAGTTCCTGATACCATACCATTTTTTTTTTTATATAACCTGGGTGAGGAAGTGGGTGCTGATTTAGATTTGAAGATTAAAGAAAATATCTTTCAGGATGAGATTTTAGGCCAAGCCTCAAGGATAAGTAGGTATTAACCAGGCAAAATAAAGTAGCAGGAGTATTCCAGAATTGGGGAATTGCATGTCAAAGGCCCTGAGGCAGGAAGGTGGGTGGCCGTGGGTGTTCATGGGGAGGCCAGAGTGACAGGATTGGGTGGCGTGTGGGGCAAGGCTGGAGAGGCAGAAAAGAGTCAGAGTAGGTGGGGCCTTGTAAATCATGTTAAGATATCTTGAACTAAATCCTGACCAGAGTGGGAGCTCCTGGAAGACCTGACTTTATCTGGGGCTGAGTGGTGTGGCTCCAGGCAGAACTGCTGCTGCAGCCAAGAAAGGAGATGTGTTCTCCCTATGGGAGACTGAGCCTGTTCCTGGGCTCATTTCTCACCCCTTCGTCCCAGCATCTTCCATATAAGTGAATGGATTCTATATACTTCTCCTTTAACAGACTTCTGCCCCCTGGGCCAGTTAAAAGACAATGATGTCAAGAAAAGACTGGCAAAAAATGCAGAAGTTCATTCAGCGCTGAGATCTGCTTAATACTAATCTCAGTGGCCGGCCGTGGTGGCTCACACCTGTAATCCCAACACTTTGGGAGGCCAAGGCGGGTGGATCACCTGAGGTCAGGAGTTTGAGACCAGCCTGGCTAACATGGTGAAACCTTGTCTCTACTAAAAATATAAAAATCAGATGAGTGTGGTGGCATGTGCTTGTAATCCCAGCTACTTGGGAGGCTGAGGCGGGAGAATCACTTGAACTCGGGAGGCAGAAGTTGCAGTGAGCCGAAATCATGCCACTGTACTCCAGCCTGGGTGACAGAGCGAGACTGTGTCTCAAAAAACAATACATATATTAATCTCAGTTACCACTATTAACTTTGGCACTGCCCAAACTATGGGATCCCCATTAAAATTTAGAAAAAGATCCCCTCCAAATTTCCATGTTAAAAGTGGCGGTTTTTTCTTACGTTCCTAAGACAGATACCCTATCACTCTGTGTATTTGTTATCAGTTCTTTCATTTATTCATTCATCAAAGATTTGCACATCTATTATGGCAGACATGAAACATACCAAAGTAAATAAGACTGGGGTCCGTGTGCTCTCAGGGCTAGACAGAGCCTGGTTCCAGGGGAGCACTCTCATCACATGATGCCATTAGCCCCTGGGGTAGGCAGAATAATGCCCCCTGCCAAGAGATCCATGCCATAATCCCAGGAACCCGCGAATATGTTACTTTACATGGTGAAAGGGACTTTGCAGATATGAATATGGCATGGGCTTTGAGATGGGGAGATTATCCTGGGTTACCTGAGTGAGCCCAATGCACTCACAAAAGTTCTTTTATTTATTTTTTGTTTTTTGAGACGGGTCTCACTCTGTCATCCAGGCTGCAGTGCAGTGGCAGCGATCACAGTTCACTGTAGCCATGACCTCCTCAGGCTCAGGTGATCCTCCTACCTCAGCCTCCTGAATAGCTGAAACTACAGGCGCACTACTACAGATTCTCCTGGAAAGCCTTGAGAAGGAGATGCAAAGCTGCCAACACCTCGATTTTAGCCTAATGAGACCCATTTGGGACTCTGGATCTCCACAACTGTAAAATAATAAATTTGTGTTCTTTTAAGCCATGAAATGTATGGTAATTGGTTGCACCAGCAATAGAAAACAAGTATCCACCCCACTCGAGCCAGGAGGCTGGCCCAAGACAGACCTCCCTCTTAATCCCTCACAGTTTCCCACTGGGCCCAGATGTAGTCTCACAATTGTTCACAGCCCAGCAGTCCAGACACCTACTTCCAATCGATTGGTGACAAAATGACTCACCTGCTCTCCTGCGGGGCCTGTACAACAATTTATACTTGATTGTGACCCCTCCAGCATTGCCAAATACACACACATTAATGCCTGGAACATTTTTTTTAATAACTCTTACAGATCTGAGTTCCTAAAGTAGCTGCTTACACTGCTGTGTGTCCTTGGGCAAATTACATACATCTCTGTGCTTCCACGTGTTCATCTCTAAAATCAGAATAATAATATTGATCATCTAGCATTATTGTAAGGATTAAATGAATTAGACATGAGAGCATTAAAAATGGCACCTGGTACACAGTAAGCACTCAGAAATTTTAACAATGGTGATGATGATTGTTATTATTATTTCCTACAGCATTTGGCATGAGGCTTAAAAGTCCTTTTTTCTTTTTTCTTTTTTTTTCTTTTTTGAGACGGAGTCTCGCTCTGTCACCCAGGCTGGAGTGCAGTGGCGTGATCTCAGCTCACTGCAACCTCTGCCTCCCAGGTTCAAGCAATTCTCCTGCCTCAGCCTCCCTAGAAGCTGGGATTACAGCCACACACCGCAAGCCTGGCTAATTTTTGTAATTTTTTTAGTAGAGACGGGGTTTCACCATGTTGGCCAGGCTGGTCTCAAACTCCTGACCTCAAGTGATCCGCCTGCCTCGGCCTCCCGAAGTGTTGGGATTACAGGCATGAGCCACCATGGCTGGCCAAAAGTCCTTTTTTGATCATTTGGTCTACAATGTGGAAAATGCACTAGAGGGGCAAGTTGACAGGAGCCAACTAGGGGAAGACTGAATTAGGGTGATGATGACTGAAATGGAAAGAGGTGGATAGACTTGAGAAATACCGCATAAGTAAAAATCAACAAGGCCTGCTGATGAATTGCATCTAGGGGTTGAGGATGTACCTAGGGTGACATAGTCAGAAGCCTTTTAATGATATTTTATAATGATGTGTTAATACAGTATAAAAGAAATCCTTAGTTTGCTTCTCTGCTTCCCTCCCCTCTCCTATCATCTTTTCCTATTGTGATACCTCTTTTCTTTCTTTCCAGAATAAAGAAACATCAGAAATATTAAAATGAGGACCAAAAGGAGTCCCAGGTATAGGAGCATGAAACATCTGGCAACATGTAGCAAAAACAGGAGACTTTTTTCTTCTAACGGAATTTTGGCCTCTTGGTGCCAGTATGTGAAAAAGGCCTTGTAGGCCAGGTGCAGAGGCTCACGCCTGTAATCCCAGCACTTTGGGAGGCCGAGGCTGGCAGATTACGAGGTCAGGAGTTCAAGACCAGCCTGGTCAACATGGTGAAGCCCCGTCTCTACTAAAAATACAAAAATTAGTTGGGCGTGGTGGCGCATGCCTGTAATGCCAGCTACTTGGAAGGCTGAGGCAGGAGAGACGCTTGAACCCTGGAGGCGGAGGTTGCAGAGAGCCAAGATCGCACCACTGCACTCCAACCTGGGTGACAGGGTGAGACTCCATCTCAAAAAAGAAAAAAGATAAAGGCCTTGTAATTGGCCAGAATGAGGGGAAGTTAGACAAGAGAGGAAGAAATATAAATATAATTAAACTGTCGGAATTGATTTTTTTTTTTTTTTTTGAGATGGAGTCTTGCTCTGTCACCCAGGCTGGAGTGCAGTGGCGTGATCTTGGCTCACTGCAAGCTCCGCCTCCCAGGTTCACACCATACTCCCGCCTCAGCCTCCTGAATAGCTGGGACTACATGGGCCCGCCACTACACCCGGCTAATTTTTTTGTTTTTGTATTTTTAGTAGAGATGGGGTTTCACCGTGTTAGCCAGGATAGTCTCAATCTCCTGACCTCATGATCCGCCTGCCTTGGCCTCCCAAAGTGCTGGGATTACAGGTGTGAGCCACCATGCCCAGCCAAATTTTCAAATAAATAAATAAATGTGTAGCAAAAGCAAATGGGCTGGTTTGTTTTGGTTTGTGTGGTTTTTTTAATGCCTGTAATGAGATTGGGCTGGGGGTGCAGGAAGCAGACCGAGCGATAGAGGACCCAGGCTCATTATGGCTCTGCAGGAAATAGCATGGGTCCAGGGACTAATGTGGAAAAGGAAAGCATCTGGAGATGGAGTCAAGAGAGATGGTTTCTAACCACCAATAAGCATTTGACAAGGAAAGCCCCATAACCTCCCTACTCAGCCTACCCTGTAAGGATTCTGTGAGAGGCACCTGTATTCACGGACTCTGTAAAGCTCTAGGGAATCCTCAGGAGAAGCCTATCTTACTGGCATGTGAGAATCCTCCAAGATCTCACCAGCCCCACCAGCTTGAGAGTGGCCTAGAAGGACCTTCTGCCTCTGTCCTCCCAAAGTGACTCCTATTAAAGGCAAAATGTGTCCGAGTCAGCCCATCTTAAATGGCTGACTAGTGAAATTTATTTCTGCATGCAACAGAATACCTTTTTTTTTCCTCCCTTCTGCCTGGGTCTATGACTTGGTTGTGCTCAGCAGAAGGAAGGTAGGAAAGGCACATTTTGAAAGTGTAGCGAGCATTTGAGCAGACTGAATTCAATTTTGGATACAAATGTCAAGGAAAGATTCTCTTGGCTCTGAGCTCCTTGCTCACTGAGGCGCAGTGTGATGCTCCATTGAAAGACCTGCTGATCTGGCCAGTGCTGGGCTGATGATAATAAAGGGGGAGCGAGGGGCAGACCACTGAGCAGGAGGAGGAATGACCTTCCAGAGGATGTGTTGGAAAGACTCTGCCAGGCTCTCCTGCACACACTGGACAGAGGGCAAGAACCTGGAGATCTGCTTCAGTCCCAGCTGTGCCATGAATATGCTGTGCATATAGCCCCTTCCCTCAGCTTAGGCTTGATTTTCCTGGCCCATAAAATGAAAGAACTGGAACAGATAATCTCTAAGGCTTTTTCTTTCCAATATTTTATGATTCTGGCATTTAAAGCATCTGCAGGTGCCGGAGAGGAATGCCAGCAAAGAGTGTATGAGAAAAATTGGCATAACTATTGGGAGGGTAATTTGATATTAGCTTTCAAATTTTTTATTATTTCGTTTAATTTTTTTGGGGGGGACAGCATCTTGCCCTGCCACCCAGGCTAGTGTGCAGTGGCATGATCATGGTTCACTGCAGCCTCTATCTCTGAGGCTCAAGTGATCCTCCCACCTCAGCCTCCCAAGTAGCTGGCACTACAAGCATATGCCACCAGGCCTGGCTAGTTTTTTTTTTTTTTTTTTTTTTGAGACAGAGTCTCACTCTGTCACCCAGGCTGGAGTGCAGTGGCTGATCTCGGCTCACTGCAAGCTCTGCTTCCCAGGTTCACACCATTCTCCTGCCTCAGCCTACCGAGTACCTGGGACTACAGGCACCTGCCACTGTGCCCGGCTAAATTTTTGTATTTTTAGTATTGATGGGGTTTCACCGTGGTCTCGATCTCCTGACCTCATGATCCGCCTGCCTTGGCCTCCCAAAGTGCTGGGATTACAGGCATGAGCCACCGTGCCCAGCCCTAATTTTTTTTTAATCTTTTGTAGAGACAGGGAACTTGCCGTGTTTTCCAGGCTGGTTTCAAACTCCTGGCCCAGAGCAATCCTCCTGCCTCAGCCTCCCAAAGTGCTGGCATTACAGGCATGAGCCACCATGCCCAGCCAGATTTCAAATTTTGTAATGGGCATACCCTTTGGCCCATAAATGTCTATTCTTGGGAAATAACTATGGAAATCCTAGCACAAGTATGCAGACATGGATGTTTATAACTGCAAAATACCAAAAACAACTCATATGCCTATTAGTAGGGAAGTAGTTAAGTAAATCTAAGAATGCAGATCCCTATATATATATATTGAAAAGGAAAAAGATCCAAAATATAACTAAGTGAAAAAAATTAGCCTTTTGAGTAAAATAAATAGTATGATCACATTTTTTCTGAAGCAAAAATCCAAATATGTGTAATATATATATTTGTCTAATTACGTCTTTATTTTCATGTGTAGATACATAAAGAAAAAGCAAGAAGATTCTGCATCAAATTTGTAATAGTTATTTCCTCTAAAGCCTCATAGTGTAATATGATAGTCACTAGCCACATGTGGCTACTGAGTACTCAAAATGTGTGACTGGTGTGAATGAGGAGCTGAATTTTTAATTTATTTAATTTAAATTGCTTATTTTTTTTTTTTTTTTGAGATGGAGTCTCATTCTGTCACCCAGGCTGGAGTGCAGTGGCGTGATCTCGGCTCACCACAACCTCAACCTCTGCCTCCTGGGTTCAAGCAATTCTCCTGCCTCAGCCTCCCGAGTAGCTGGGATTACAGGTGTGCGCCACCACACCCACCTAATTTTTTTTGTATTTTTAGAAGAGATGGGGTTTCACCATATTGGCCAGGCTGCATCTCAAACTCCTGACCTTGTGATCTGCCCACCTCGGCCTCCCAAAGTTCTGAGATTATAGGCGTGAGCCATCACACCAGGCCAATTTTAATTACTTTTTATTTGCTTATTTATTTATTTTTGTGACAGCATCTCACTCCAGGCTGGAGCGCAGTGGCACGATCTTGGCTCACCACAACCTCTACCTTTCAGGCTCAAGCGATCCTCCCACCTCAGCCTCCCAAGGAGCTGGGACTACAGGTGCGAACCACCACACCCAGCTAATTTTTGTACTTTTTGTAGAGACAGGGTTTCACCACATTGCCAATGTGGATCTTGAACTCCTGGGCTCAAGTGATCCCTCCTCAGCCTCCCAAAGTGCTGGGATTACAGGTGTGAGCCACCATGCCCAGCCCAAGTACTAGTTCTTAAATTAAATATGTAGTAACTGGCTGGGCATGGTGGCTAAAAATCGGCCTCTAAAAAGTTGTAGGTCTCTACTAAAAAATACAAAAATTAGCCAGGCATGGTGGCGCACACCTGTAGTCCCCGTTACCAGGGAGGCTGAGGCACCAGAATCGCTTGAAGCCGGGAGGTTGAGGTTGCAGTGAGCCAAGATCTCACCACTGCCCTCCGGCTTGGGTGACAGAGCGAGACTCTGTCAAAAAAAAAAAAAAAGAAAAGAAAAAGAAAGAAAAGAAAGAAGAAAGAAAGAAAGAAAGAAAGAAAGAAAGAAAGAAAGAAAGAAAGAAGAAAGAGAAAGAAAGAAAGAAAGAAAGAAAGAAAGAAAGAAAGAAAGAAAGAAAGAAAGAAAGAAAGAAAAGAAAAGAAAGAAAAGAAAAACAAAAAAAGAAAAGAAAAGAAAATGGAACTCTCACTGCGGTGACTGTGGTGTCTCTGTGATTTACCAGCAGCTTCTAATTGCCTGATCCTTTTTTTGATGACTGCTATCCTCAACAAGGAACCCTCTGCCTGACAGCCATCACAGCTGTGTTGGAAAGGGATCCTTTCTCAGAATGTAGGAGTTAGGCCCAGGAGAGTTAGAAGGGGAGTGGGGGAAGATAAATAACCCTTAAAGAAATCTCCCCTCTTCTCTCCAGTTCCCCTCTTCCCCGTATCAAGCCTCCCCAAAGCTTTAGGGATCTGTAGTCCTAGGTTGAACTTCCTACCTTACTAAATGGCAAGGCCAGGATGTTAGCGTTCCCCACACAGACATGTCTGTATTCTATATAAAGATGTCTGTGTTACACATAAACACGTTATGGCTGTAACAATATCACTTTCAAAGGAGCGCTAATCCGCTGAAGTCATCGAGTCCGAAAACATTTGCTTCTCTGTGTCTTGTGTCTGAGCTCTGTGTGAGAGACACAGAGAAAAGGAAGGAGGGAGGGAAGGAGAAAAGGATGGAGGGAAAGAGGAAGAAAGAGAGAGTGCACTTTAGAAAGCCCTACTTTGCAGAAATCGCTTTGAAAATTGTCCCTCTGGCTTATTTGTTCTTTATGGTGTCACTCTCTTACATCAATTACCCTCTGCTTAAAACGTTCATAATGGTCTTTCTATTGGAACTTCCAGATATATCAAATCAACATTTTGGATATGAAGTGATTTGGTTTGAGTGGATGTCTCAGGGTGACCTAGCAGAGAAAAAATCAGCTGCAGGAAAAGGTCAGGAAATACCTGCCTCAGTGCTCCGCTAAACCCTGTATTACCCACATCATAGCCTATATCTCCCTAGATCATACTCACGTGTTTTATCTTCTTTGCTAGACTGAGCATTCCATGAGGCACCTCCGTCCCTATCACCTAGCACAGGGTCTGGCAAATAATAGGCTCTTTTCTTTTTCTTTTTTCTTTTTCTTTTTTTTTTTTTTTTTTGAGACAGGGTCTCACTGTCACCCAGGCTGGACTGCAGTGGTGCTATCTCAGCTCACCATAACCTTGGCCTCCTGGGCACAAGCGATTCTCGTGCCTCAGCCTCCTGAGTAGCTGGGACTACAGGCATGCGCCACCACGCCCTGATAATTTTTTATTTTTATTAGAGACAGGGTTTTGCCATGTTGGTCAGGCTGGTCTCCAACTCCTGACCTCAAGTGATCCGCCGGCCTGGGCCTCCCAAAGTGCTAGGATTACAGCTGTGAGCCACCTCACCCAGCCAAATAATAGGCTTTTAATAAAAGTTGGTTGATTACTCCATGAAAGAACGAGTGAAGGCATGAACAGACCATTCAAAGGTCAGCCATTATCTAAAACGTTAACAAAATGAGAGATTCACTTCAAAGGTGGACTTGTAACGTTTTCCATCTTGTTCTTCTGTCGTTCATTCAACATATATTTATTTTTATTTATTTATTTATTTATTTTTGAGACGGAGTCTTGTTCTGTCGCCCAGGCTGGAGTGCAGTGGCGCGATCTCGCCTCACTGCAAGCTCCGCCTCCCAGGTTCACGCCATTCTCCTGCCTCAGCCTCCTGAGTCGCTGGGACTACAGGCGCCCGCCAACACACCCGGCTAATTTTTTGTATTTTTAGTAGAGACGGGGTTTCACCATGTTAGCCAGGATGGTCTCGATCTCCTGACCTCGTGATCTGCCCGCCTCTGCCTCCCAAAGTGTTGGGATTACAGGCGTGAGCCACTGCACCTGGCCTCAACATATATTTATTAAATGCCCATTGTGGGGGGCTATACACTGACTAAACAAAGACCAGTTTAAACACACGGTTCCTGCCCTCATGAAGTTTACAATCTGAGGAGAGAGGGAAGGTAGAGGTAAGTCATAAATAAATTAAATTAAAAATAACAAACCATAGTAAGTTCTCCCAAGGCTATTACCAGGGAGCGGTGATAGAGGATGGAGGGGCTGCACCAATTTAGCCAATTTGTCTTTTCTCTAAGGAAGTGATATTTAAGCTGAAGAATGGAGGGAGGATGAGGAGTCTGCTATGAAACTATAAAAAAAGTAAATTCAGGCCTATTGCTTTGTGACTCACTGCTTCAACGTACTATGAAATTGGAACTTGCCTTGATTCCCTTGGGTTTTAGAGCTCATGCTAACTTGCCTGAATGGGCGTCACTGTCTCTTGGAACCCATGTGTTCAGAGTGTAAGGAGAGGACTTCCCTTATTTGAAGGGCAGGGTGATTATGAGGAGATGGCAAGCAGTAGGCTGGTGAGTTTCATTCACCTGTCTACAGAGCTGTCTCATGCCTCTTCACATGAGCTTTCATATATCCCATCTGCTCTCACTGCTCAATTTCTACTTTCAATGCGCATTTTTATTGACCATAGTTACATATGGAGGGAGACTGAGGATTCACAAGGGAGAGAACTCTTACTTTTCCCCTTCTACTCTTTGTCCCCTTTGGCTACTTTTAACTATCAACTTTTTATGAGTTATATTATACAACTAGTAAATAAAAATGGTAAACTTGATGGCTCATGCCTGTAACACCAGCACTCTGGCAGGCCAAAGTGGGCAGATCGCTTGAGCCTAGGAGTTGGAGAGCAGCCTAAGCAACATGGTAAAAGTGGTCTGTACAAAACGTATAAAAAGCTAGCTTGGTGTGGTGGTGCACATCTGTAGTTTCAGCTACTTGGGAGGCTGAGGTGGGAGGATCACTTAAGCGTGAGAGGTTGAGGCTGCAATGAGCAGTGATCATGCCACTGCACTCCAGCCTGGGTGACAGAGTGAGACCCTGTCTCCAAAAAAATAAAATAAAATAAAAAGGTAAACTACATATACAGTTCTCTTTGACATGCCACAGAATTAGGATCCTTTTTATGATTTTTAAAATCACTTATTTATTTAAATTTATATATAATAGATGTATATATTTTCAGAACATGTGTGCTAATTTAATACAATCATATAATTTGTAAAGATTGGATCCATGTACTTGGATAATCATCATCTTAAATATGCCTTTATGCTAGAACTACATGCAAATCATTCTTTTCTAGATATTTATAAATGTACAATAGATTATCATACACTATAGTCATCCTACTGATCTCTGGAACACTAAGACTTATTTATTCTATTTAGATGTATAGTGGTACCCATTAACCAAACTCACTTCATTGACTTTTTTTGATTATTAATGCAATACAGTATAAACTCAATGCAATCACACTTGGAAAACTGAGGAAAGAATAAAATTCACCATAATTTAATCAACCTGTGATTACCACTGATGATATTTTGATATATTGCTTTCTCAATGCATTTTAAAACATAGGATACAATTTTACCTGTTAATTTATCACCCTCTTTTTAATTCAATATATGTAGGCACTTTTTCATGTCAATAATAAATGTTGAGCTTTTGTATTGGTGAATCATAATTTAAGTTGACCAGTTCCCTTTTGATGGACATGTAGGTTGCACTTTTCACCAAATAATTAACTTTGTGTGTGTGTGTGTGAGGTGGAGTCTCACTCTGTCACAAGGCTGGAGTGCAGTGGTGCGATCTCAACTCACTGCAACCTCTGCCTCCCGGGTTCAAGCAATTCTCCTGCCTCAGCCTCCCAAGTAGCTGAGACTACAGGCATGCACCACCACGCCCAGCTAATTTTTGTATTTTTAGTAGAGACGGGATTTCACCATGTTGGCCAGGATGGTCTTGATCTCTTGACCTTGTGATCTGCCTGCCTCAGCCTCCTCCAAAGTGCTGGGATTATAGGCGTGAGCCACCACGCCCAGCAAAATTAACTTTTAATCTAAATATTTATGAATTTTTTTGTCTATTACCATCCAGAAATTTCACCTGATTCCTCAGTATTCAACAAACAACAGTGATTCTTACTTGGTCATCAAAAAATAAGATTTTCTTTGCAAGTTAGGTCAAGTAATTCAAGCAGTGTTCCATTGGGTGCAATCCTGTTATATGAACATCTAGACTGACCAAATCAATTCAGGATTGTTTCTTAACTTCATAAAAGAATTTGAACAGCAGATTTCACTGGAATATCAGCTTCCTGGAAGGTTGGAGGTAGGAGGTAGGGAGAGATGTCTTGGAAATAACGAATGCTTCATTTTAAGAGTAGCTCAAGTTTGTTGTAGGGAGGTATGGGGGTGGAGTGCTGCTAGGGTCCACCGCTCTGATCACAGCTGTTACCATGTGACCAAGAAGTCAGGCAGGTGAAGGGAGGTGGGGCAAGAGCCAGAGTTCAGACACCCAGGAATCAGAAGTGGGTAGGCTGGGAGGATGCTTACTGTCAGAAGCCCATACATACCAGGGCTTGAAAAAGGGAACCTCAACAGATTACTCTCCAACAAAACAGTACAGGAGCCAAGGCTTGGCCATCCTCTTGCTAGATCATCCTGTCTGTCTCCAAGCCAGCAAATACACAAAGATCCATTCCACCTTCAAACCTGACATTTCCCTTAGTTACAATCCTCTGATTTCCAAAAAGACTCTATTTTCTGTTTCTCTTCAGCTGTAGCAACCTGCTCTCTTAAATAGCTTCCTTATCTGGTGGGGGTAATTACAGCCTGTGACTAACAGCTGCGGTTCATAAACATGAGTTTTAACGTTTGGGTCAGTAGTTCTTGGTCTTTTCTGAATGGCAACTCCCTCAGCTGATCTCAGCATTAGGAGAGAGGCCTCTCCTTCGGCACTCCCAGTTGGTACTCACTAGTGCGGTTTACTGTTGAAGGCTGCTGTTTTCCCATTATAAAATATTTAGGTTGGCACAAAAGTAATGGCAGAAACCGCGATTACTTTTGTGCCAACCTAATAGGTCACATTTTTATTAAAGTTGCAAGTCCCAGCATCTAATACCAAAACATATTTCTGGACGTTTGTATTATTAGTGATTTAAATTTTCTCTTTGAGCTTTTTAAATATTCCAAATTGTCTACAATGAGCATGTATTTCTTTTACATATTTTTAAAAAAGGCTTTTCAAAAAGTAATTCCTAACTATAACATGTTTTAGGAGAAAATCTTCAGGATTTAGGGCTTCAGCAAGAAAAACACAACACCAAGAAGTACAATCTATAAAAGAAAAAATCAGTAGATTCAACGTTATAAAAATTAAAAAACAGCCGGGCGCGGTGGCTCACGCCTGTAATCCTACCACTTAGGAATGCCAAGGCGGGTGGATCACCTGAGATCAGGAGTTCAAGACCAGCCTGGCCAACATAGTGAAACCCCGTCTCTACTAAAAATACAAAAAAGTAGCCGGGCATGGTGGTGCATGCCTGTAATCCCAGCTACTCAGGAGGCTGAGACAGGAGAATCGCTTGAACCTGGGAGGCATAGGTTGCAGTGAGCCAAGCTTGCACCCCTGCACTCTAGCCTGGGCGACAGCCTCTACCCTGTCTAGTTTGCACTCTAGCCTGTCTCAAAAACTAACCAAATAAATAAAAATAAAAAACTTTTGCTCTGGGAAAGACCTTGTTAAGAGGATGAAGAGACAAACTACAGGCTCAGAGAAAATATTTGCAAACCACACATTCTGACAGAGGACTTTACAGTAGATATATATATATATAATCTACAATATATAAGTAACTCAAAATTCAGCAGTGAAAACAATCTAATTAGAAAACAGACAAAAGATATGAAAAGGATTCGCTGAAGAGCACATGATAAGCTATTCAACATCCACATCACTATCGTTAGGGAAATGTAAATTAAGACCATGAGGAGCTATCACCCTTTACACCAGCTAAATTTTAAAATAGTGATGGCTTTTGGGAAGCTGACGTGGGAGGATTGCTTGAGCTCAGGAGTTCAAGACCAGTCCCGGTAACATAGGGAGACCCCATCCCTAGAAAAAATAAAAATAAAATAAAATAATAGAAGTAGTGATGGCAAGGATGCAGAGAAACTGAGTCACTCATGCATTGCTCGTGGAGTATAATATGGCACAGCCACCCTGGAAACTGATTTGGCAGTCTTCCTTTCTTAAAATTAAACTTAATTTTTTTGAGATGGGGTCTTTGTCTGTTGCCCAGGCTGGAATGCAGTGGCACAACCACGGCTCACTGCAGCCTCAACCTCCCAAGCTCAAGTGATCCTCCCATCTCAGCCTCCTGAATAGCTGGGACCACAGCCACATGCCACCAAGCCCAGCTTATTTTATCTTATTTTTTTTTTAGAGAGAAGGTCTCACTGTGTTGCCCAGGCTGGTCTTGAACTTCTGGGTTCAAGCTAGCTTGCCACCTTGTCCTTCCAAAGTGCTGGGACTATAGGCGTGAGCCACTGTGACTGGCCTAGCAATTTCTTAAAAAACTAAACATATGATTACCACATGACCCAGCAACTGTACTCTTGGGCATTTATCCCAGAAAAATAACACTTACATCTACCAAAAAACCTGCACATGAATGTCCATAGTAGCTTTATTTGTAAAAGCCCAAATCTAGCAACAACTGAAATATCCTTCAAGAGGTAAATAATTAGGCAAACCATGGTACATCCATACCATAGAATACTATTCAGCAATAAAAAAAGGCCAACCCTATTGACATGCACAACAAGCTGCATGGACTTCAGGGGTATTATGCCAGTGAAAAAAGCCCATCTCAAAAGGTCACATTCTATATGATTTCATTTACAGAACCATCTTGAAATGACAAAATCACAGAGATGTAGAACAGATGGGCATCTACCCAGTTAGGATTGGTGGGGAGGAGGACAATGGGTTATTATTATTATTTTGAGACTCACTCTGTTGCCCAGGCTAGAGTGCAATGGCATGCTCTCGGCTCACTGCAAGCTCTGCCTCCTGGACTCAAGCGATTCTCCTGCTTCAGCCTCCCAAGTAGTTGGGATTACAGGTGCCCGCCACCACATCCTGCTAATTTTTGTATTTTTAGTAGAGACGGGTTTCACCATGTTGGTCAGGCTGGTCTCGAACCCCTGACCTCAGGTGATCCACCCGCCTCGGCCTCCCAAAGTGCTGGGATTACAGGTGAGAGCCACCATGTCCAGCCAGCAATGGGTTATTCTAATGGAATAGACTGAGGAAGCTCTTCGTGGTGATGGAATAGTTTTATGTCTTTACTGCAGTGGTGATTACACAATCTGCACCTGTGAGTGGCATAGAACTATACATATACATTGTATCAATGGTGACTTCCTGGTTTTCATTCTACTATAGTTATGCAAGATTGTAAGGGCGGGGAGTCGGGGGGGTGGGGGGTGGTGGGAACTGAAGGTACACAGGACTTCTCTGTACTATCTTTGCAACTTCCTGCGAATCTATAATTGTTTCAAAATTAAAGAGTGCTTTTAAAAAGCAATTCATCCATATGTAGAAAATTTGGTATATGCAGAAAAATAGAAAGAATGATAGCTTTAAAATTCATAAGCTCTTTGATATTCATTTCATAATGCTGGAATGTATTGCTTAATTTTTGTTTTTTATTTTTCTGAGGTAAAATTCACATAACATAAGACAACATTTAATGCATTTTTTTTTTTAAGAAGCAGGGTCTCTGTTGCTCAGGCTGGAGTGCAGTGGCACAAACAGTTCACTGTAGCCTCGAACTCCTAGGCTCAAGGGATCCTTTCACATCAGCCTCCCAAGGAGTAGGTGGGACTTCAGGCATGCACCACCATGCGCAGCTAATTTTTTTTTTTTTTAAGAGATAAGTGTCTCACTACCAGTTGCCTAGGCTTGTCTTGAACTCCTGGCCTCAAGCTGTTCTCTTGCTTCAGCCTCCCAAATTGCTGAAATTACAGGCGTAAGCCTCCTCACCTGGCTCACTTTAAGCATTTTAAAATGTACAATTAAAGGGTACTTTTGATACATTCACAATATTGTGCAATCATCACTACTATGTAATTCCAGAACCTTTCACCATCCTCAAAAGAAACCCCATACCCATTACCAGTCACTCCTCCTTCAGCCCTCCTGCAAGCCTGTGGCAAATGCTTTCTGCCTTTCTGCCTACTCTGGACATTTCATATAAATGGACTCACAGTACACAGCCATCTGCCTCTGCTTCTTTCACTTAGCATCTTGTGGTCAGGGTTCATCCGTGTATGTAGCATGTATCAGCACATCATTGCTTTTTATAGCTGAAGAATATTCTGTGAATATGCTTAATTTTTGTCTTTATTTTATTACAAAATTTTTGTCAAGCAATCCTCCTGCCTCTGATTCCCAAAGTGTTGGGATTACAGGCATAAGCCACTACACTCAGCCTAATTTTTGTTTTAAATAAAATTCTTCTTCACTCCCCTCTTTTTTTTTCTTTTTTTCTTTCTTTCCTTTCCTTTCTTTCTTTCTTTTTTTTTTTTTTTTTTTTTTTGACAGAGTCTCACTCTATAGTCCAGGCTGTAGTGCAGTGGTGCCATCTCGGCTCACTGCAACCTCTGCTGCCCAGGCTCAAGCACTTCTCCTGTCTCAGCCTCTCGAGTAGCTGTGATTACAGGCGCCTGCCACCACACCCAGCTAATTTTTGTATTTTTAGTAGAGAAGGGGTTTCACCATCTTGGCCAGGCTGGTCTTGAACTTCTGACCTGGTGATCCACCTGCTTCAGCCCCCCAAAATGCTGGGATTACAGCCTGAGCCACCGTATCCGGCCTTCACTCCCCTCTTGTAGTCTTTTTTACATCTGGTTACTTTGGTGAATTCTCTCCAGCCTGGACAAGTGACCTGTGACCTCTGACCATTCACACTGAGGCTAATATTCAGCCTAATTTTGGTTTTAAATAAAATTCTTCTTCACTCCCCTCTTGTAGTCTCTTTTACATCTGGTTACTTTGGTGAATTCTCTCCAGCCTGGATGAGTGACCTGTGACCTCTGACCATTCACACTGAGGCTAACATATGTGGGCAGATGGAGGCCCTTAGCTTCCATCTTCCCACTGTCCAGAATCACCTGCTGACATGAAGATGCCTCATCAGGTGGATCATTATGTGGGATCCACAGGATCTGTACAGGTGCGGCTCTCCATGTGGCCCATCAGAGATGATACGCCAGCAGAATGAATGACGGTGGGAGCGGGAGGGAGGAGAGACTGGCAGCATGCCTACCAAGCAGCAGGACATTTCGGGGGCCTCCTACTCACAACCTTGACCCGCCTCTCTGGAAGACTAAGCACAGAATGTCTTTCCCAAAGCAACATTTTTCTAACCCCTCGTGGAAGACTGAACCCCTTCCATTAGTGTCCCTCCTCTCTTCATTGTCCTCCAAAATCTGGAGCTGGCCTACGGTGATGCAGTCACCAGGAGACTACTGCCAACCATCTCTCCCTTCTGTCCGTGACATCAGAGCTAGGCCAAAACGACTGTGCCTACAACCCACTGGCATCTCAGTGGATGTACAGTCCATTCACTGAGTCCTCATGATGTGTCAGGCACTGTACTGAGCCTTAAACATTTGTTATCCCACTTAAATCTCCCAGAAACCCTATCAGGTGAATGCTTTTATCATTCCTGTAAATGATAATAGATTCGCTGGTGGAGACTCAGAGGGTTTTAGGGTCCAGTCCAAGATCTTATAACCACAGAATGGCAGGATCAGGATTCACCACATGCCTATGTAACAGCCAAGCACATGAAGAGTGTATAGTCTCGGCAGGGTGCCCCCAGTGGCTCACGCCTGCAATCCCAGCACTTTGGGAGGCTGAGGCAGGTGCATCACCTGAGGTCAGGAGTTCCAGACCAGCCTGACCAACATGATGAGACCCCGTCTCTACTAAAAATATAAAAATTAGCTGGGCCTGGTGGTGGGCACCTGTAATCCCAGCTACTCAGGAGGCTGAGACAGGAGAATTGCTTGAATCCGGGAGGTGGAGGTTGCAGTGAGCTAAGATCGCACCACTGCACTTCAGCCTGGGTGACAAAGCAAGACTCTGTCTCAAACAAACAAACAAAAAAAGAGTATATGCTCTGGAGCCAGACTTCCTGGGCTCAAATCCAGCCTTCTTGTTAGTTATTTGACTTTGCCTCTGTTTCCCCGTTTGTAAAATGGGTGAACAATAATACTTGCCTCTTAAGATTGTGGTAAGGATAAAATACATGAATCTGTCTACAGCACTGATAGCTACATGCCTGGTATGTAATAAGGGCCATGTAAGTGTTCACTATTGCTGTAGTTGTTGCTGTTAGTATACGGCCTCTTAAAAATGCAATAGAAAAGCAGGGAAACTGCAATGATCCATTTCCCTTGCCTAAAGGGATTTCTCCTGGCCAAGTAACACAAGAAGTGCTGCCTCTAGACTGCTGCTCCCAGCCCCAGGGCTTACAGCAATAAGCAAAGTGAAACCAGCCATTTCCAAAGCTCGTGTATTAAGTCTTTAAATTAACAGGAAAGTGGGGGTGGGCACAGCAGGGAAGGACAGTTCTTTTCCTATAAGAGCCAGCAATGGATTTCCTTTGAAGACGCATTACATGGTTACTCAGAACGTTGCCCATGATAAGCATTTGATTAAGAGTATCCAGTGGTGATATTTTGTGGATCTCTATTGTTACAACAAACCATGGGCTATCAGCGCTCTTTACTACTGGAAATAAATCATTAGTGCCTTTAAATCAAGTCAGATTAGAGAACCAATTCCAGAAACTCCAGAACCAATTCAGAAATCTCATTCCCAAGAGTCTGTTCCAGTCAGGTGCGGTGGCTCATTCCTGTAATCATAGCACTTTGGGAGGCCGAGGCGGGCAGATCACGAGGTCAGGAGATCAAGACCATCCTGGCTAACACGGTGAAACCCCATCTCTGCTAAAAAATACAAAAAAATTAGCCAGGCATGGTGGCGGGCGCCTGTAGTCCCAGCTAT
This sequence comes from Homo sapiens, assembly GCF_000001405.40. Classification (NCBI taxonomy): domain Eukaryota; kingdom Metazoa; phylum Chordata; class Mammalia; order Primates; family Hominidae; genus Homo; species Homo sapiens. The sequence continues at coordinate 32,472,955 of NC_000011.10, forward strand.
TCGGGAGGCTGAGGCAGGAGAATGGTGTGAACCCGGGAGGCGGAGCTTGCAGTGAGCTGAGATAATGCCACTCCAGCCTGGGCTACAGAGCGAGACTCCGTCTCAAAAAAAAAAAAAAAAAAAAAAAAAAAAAAAGAATCTGTTCCTTTAGAACCACCTAGCAAGGAGCAGTACCATTCAATAACAGATTGTTGTCCAACACCATCACTCGCCCTTGAATTCTTTCTTGGGTAAAGCCAAGAATCCTCCCAGGCTAAGCCTCAATTTTGGGGCTCACCTGTCCTATAATATCTGGCGACCATGAAGGGACAAAGACAGTGAGTGAGAAATGAGGCAAAAGACTGGCAGGACTTGTTTTCTGGTCACAACCCTGCTGACCAATACAAGATCTGGTCTAGACAGGATAACATAAATAAATCAGCAAGAGCCAGCAGATGACAACGAAAGTGACCCCTAGATTGTTCATTGCATGAGACACTCCAGCCAGCACCATGACAGTTTACAAATGCCGTGGCAATGACCTGGAAGTTACCACCCCTTTCCATGGCAACAACCTGGAAGTTACTGCCCCTCCGCCCCTTTCCTAGAAAGTTCTAAATAACTGGCACCTCAGTTTGCATTGACCTGCCCCTTAATTTGCATGTAATTGTTTTTTGTTTATGTGTTTTTGAAACAGGGTCTCGTTCTGTGGCCCAGGCTAGAGTGCAGTGATGTGATCACAGCTGACGCAGCCTGGACCTCCCTGGCTGAAGCCATCCTCCCACCTCAGCCTTCTGAGTAGCTAGGACTACAGCACATACCACCATGCCCTGCTAATTTTTGTACTTTTTATAGAGACAGAGTTTCAAAAAAGAATGTTACCAGTTGTGCCCAGGTTTACAGCTCTGAGTCCCTGATGAAAACTCTAGGTTCTCATGGCCTACAGGAAGAACAGGGTTGACAGCTGGTCTAGTTTAGGAGGGAGAGGATTTTACCAGAATCCCAGAGTACAAGGAAGGTCTGACTTAGAGGAAAAAAAATCAAAACTAGGACTGGTGTCCAAGAGAAGAGCCCTTAGCATCCTTAGGATTTTTTTAAATCTCCGTAAAGAATCATATGCCTTTAGGATTATTGAGCCTTACCTTAGTTTGATTTTATTAGCATCCTTTATCCCATGCACCAGTTAGTAGAGGGCACTGCTCTCCATGCCACAAAATCCCCTAGTTGAACTCTTTATTTTACAGTGAAGAAACGGAAGCCCAGAGTCATCCAGCAATGTAGTAATAAAGGCTTAGAACCCAAGATCCCTGACTTCAGTCTATTTCTCTACCATCTGAGCCACACTGCCAAAAGACAATTTTTAAAAGGTCTTCCTGAACAGATCGCTCCTCCTCTCTTTTACAGGGCCAGCAGGTCACCTCACTGAGGATAATTCTATCCACAAGCTAATTCAGAACAGCCTGAAGCATGTTTCATCATGAGCTAGAGCTTCTGCCGGGATGAGGAGGGAGGACTCAGCTTTGGTTTTGGGTACTGAACTGAACTGAGGGAAAAGCTCAATTAAACAACCCTGCTGATTCAGAATGACTAGGGAATGAGCTCTCTGAACTATCTAATGCTTCTGCCCATGTTTGTTGGATAAATGAATATATGGAACATTAACACGTAAAGCAAGATGGGCACTGCAGCTTACACCTATAATCCCAGCACTTTGGGAGGCCAAAGCATGTAGATCATTTGAGCCCAGGAGTTCAAGACCAGCCTGGGCAACATAGTGAAAACTTTCGCTGGGAAAAATACAAAAAATTAGCCAGGCATGGTGACCTGTGCCTGTAGTTCCAGCTACTCAGGAGACTGAGGTGGGAGGATCACTTGAGCCTCAGAGGTTGAGGCTGTAGTGAGCCATAATTGCACCACTGCGCTCCAGCCTGGGTGATAAAGCAATACTCTATCTTAAAAATAAAATATAATAACAGCAATTCTACCAAATTTAATTCAGTCTTTCTTCCCATAGTGTCTCAAGGTCATAACAATGAGTATGGATCAAGCTGGAGAATTCAATTGATGGAGAATAGGGGTTAGCCTGGCATGGTGGCACATGCCTGTAGTCCCAGCTACTCAGGAGGCTGAGGGAGGAGAATTGCTTGGACCTGGGAGGTGGAGGTTGCAATGAGCCCAGATCGTGCCACTGCACTCCAGCTTGGGTGACAGAGCAACAGTCTGACTCAAAAAAAAAAAAAAGGAAGATATTTGATGCAGGGCAGGTGAGCCCCAACATGGGGGCTTAACCCACAAAGATTCTTGGCTTCCACCAGGAGGAAAGAATTCAATGGCGAGCCAATGGGGGGACAGGAGTAGAAGGAAACAGCCTTATTGAAGCAGCAGTGTTACAACTCTGGCAGTGTTACAGCTCTGTGACTGCTCCTGCAGAGCAGGGCTACCCCACAGGCAGTGTGCTGGGAGTTAGCAGCTCAGGGCAGTTTTGCAGTCATATTTATACCTACTTCTAATTACATGTAGATTAAGGGATGGTTTATACAGCAATTGCTAGGAAAAGGGTGGTAACTTTTGGGTCCTGCATCATTGCCATGGAAAGGGGCAGTAACACCTGGAGGTTAGCATGGCAATGGGAAACTGACATGGCACACTGGCCAGTGTGTCTTATAGAAAGCTGCTTCTGGCCGGGTATGGTGGCTCATGCCTGTAACTTTGGGAGGCTGAGATGGGCGGATCACCTGAGGTCAGGAATTCAAGACCAGCCTGGCCAACACAGTGAAACCTCATCTCTACTAAAAATACAAAAGTTAGCCAAGCGTGGTGGTGCATGCCTGTAGTTCCAGCTACTTGGGAGGCTGAGGCAGGAGAATCGCTTGAATCTGGGAAGCGGAAGTTGCAGGGAGCTGAGATCACGCCACTGGACTCCAGCCTAGGTGACAGTAAGACTCTTGTCTAAAAAAAAAAAAAAAAAAAAAAGGACCAGGTGCCGTGGCTCATGCCTGTGATCCCCCAGTACTCTGGGAGGCCGAGGTGGGCAGATCACCTGAGGTCAGGAGTTTGAGACCAGCCTGACCAACATGGAAAAACCCCATCTCTACTGAAAATACAAAAAATTAGCTGGGCGTGGTGGCACATGCCTGTAATCCCAGCTGCTTGGGAGGCTGAGGCAGGAGAATCGCTTGAACCCGGGAGGCAGAGATTGCAGTGAGCCAAGATCACGCCATTGCACTCCAGAGCAAAATTCCATCTCAAAAAAAAAAAGAAAAAGAAAGCTGCTTTTGCCTAGTCCCTGTTTCAGCTGGTGCCCAAATTGGTCCAGTGTCCAAGCCCTGCCTCTGGAGTTGAGTCCCACCTCCTACCTCAATATGGAAAAGGTATTGGGATCAAAACCCAGAGTCCCGTTTTTCCTGCTGTATTACATCTTCCTTAGGCATTTTTTTTTCTCAAACTCCCTGAGTCCTAATTCCTTTGTCAGTAAAATAATAATTGTAGCATCTGTCTCCCAAAGTAATGCTGTAATTTGAGAATAACATTTTTATCATAATAGTGGATTTATGATAGGATAGAAGGCCCAAAACCCAAGAATTCACAGTCATATCATTGTAGCTGCATATAACTAGATTTGTGTTTGTTTGTTTGATTTTTTATATGTCAAACAAAACTTTAATAATGTCTTTAAAGCCTTTTAGAAGGCATTTCTTCACTCTGAATAGTCCTGTGTTTAAAATTCAAGCTTAATTTTTCTCTGTACTGTAAATATTTCTCCAAATGGGTTTAAAACGGGGCACAAAAGGATCAGTTCCATGAAGAAGGCAAAAATACTTTACCAGAATGCCATGCCAAATTGGATAGCACTCTCAAAGCAGATTAAAGTTGTTTCAAATGCTTCAAAGAGGAAGACAAATCTAATCCCTCAAGCCTTCCTTTAAATCCATATTCCTTAATTTCAGAAAATTTCCCAAGTCTTTTAAAAGGCCCAAATATCATTTTACAGTTTGGAAGTAGTCAAGAAGAACATTTCCAATTTTTGAGAACATTCTTCCTTCCTTAAAAAAGGGCTCAGTGAAGCTGGGTCTCCTTCATAAAGAAACCCGCCCCAGTGGACCATGACCCCCTTGTTTTAGGAGTAGAGTGGGACAGCCATCCTCGGGCCCTGGGTCTGGAGTTCGTGGCTAATGACTACCTGAAGAATTCCTTGAAGAAGCAGAGTCAGGCCGGGCATGGTGGCTCACGCCTGTAATCCCAGCACTTTGGGAGGCCGAAGTGGGCGGATCATGAGGTCAGGAGATCAAGACCATCCTGGCTAACACGGTGAAACCCCATCTCCACTGAAAATACAAAAAATTAGCCGGGCGTGGTGGCATGCACCTGTAGACCCAGCTACTCAGGAGGTTGAGGCAGGGGAATCTCTTGAACCTGGGATTTGGAGGTTGCAGTGAGCTGAGATTGTGCCACTGCACTCTGGCATGGGCGACAGAGTGAGACTCTATCTCAAAAAAAAAAAAAAAAGAAGCAGAGTCAGGCATTCTCCCTGTGATTTCTGGGCGAGATCTGCATGTCTGCCACTGTGTGGAAGAACGGCCAGTCCCTCCACTATGTAACACCAGTGGAAAGAAAGTTTCCAAATGAGAAGAAAAACAAGGCTGGGTGCAATAGAGACAAGTGAGACCATTTTCACAGCTTCAGAAAACAGCTCTTCTGAAGTCACCTTCACCTGCTCAGAGAGGCAAACTCCCAGATTCTTCTCTTGCTGCCGTATCCACACAGCAGTTATAATAGACCCATTATAATAATGAATATTTATGGAGACTACCAATGTGCCCACACTGTGCCAAAGGTCTTACATGCAGTGTCTCTTTTATCCTCTCAATAGCCTGGAGGCAGATACACTTCCTAGCCCTATTTTACAGATGAGGAAGTTGAAGTTGCAGATGGCTCATTAAGCTGCCAGTGTCATCGCTACTTAGTGGTTGTGTGAGACTCAAACTCAGATCTTCCTGACTCTGAAGTCTGTGCTTAACCAGAATGATGCGCTGCCTAAATACAGTCTCGTGGCAGTGCAGGGATGGGCTCATGTTGAACACTTCTTTTGTACCTCCACTCTGGAATTTTGTTATAATTAACAATAGCTACCTGTGTCCCAGCTAAGTGTGCTGAGTGGTTTACATGCATGGTCTTCAGCAGGTTTAAATGGCATAAACCACCCTGACCCTGGAAACACTTTCTGCCTCCTCTGTCAGACTCTTTTCTCCTTTCTCTCCTATTTCCTTCCCTCTCTCCCTGCAGCTCGGAGACACTGGGTGCATTCTGGTTGCCATTTTACCTTGCCTCCAACCCAGCCTAAAATGCAAACCGTGTTGTCAATGAAAATAGGTATATCTTTTCTGCTGTTTTCTGTTTTAGTTTGAGGAGAAGTTACAAGTGTCCCTCTCTGCTCTCCATATTCAAGACATCTCCCTGTAGACACGGTGCCAGAACAGTGACCTCAGACCACAGCTTGGACGCTGATTACAAGTAATCCAGCTCCAGAGGTGATAGAGTGTCCTTTCTTTAAAAAGGAGATAAAAATAGCGAAGAAACAACACTTTCCTTAGTTCTCTGAAAGGTTGGCATTCTTCCAGAGTAGACTTATGTACTTTTTGTACTTGGAGGAAAAAAAGAGATGGGATCTGGTCCAAGAATAGTCCTGCAAACAAGAGAAATATGGAGCAGGCAGCTGGAGCTGAGCATCCAAGTGGTACCACCAGCTGCAGGCCCATTAATTAACGATCCCTGGTATGTAGCGGTTCCCGTGACCTTGATTCTTGTTGAATTCACAGAGATAATTTTTACAGAGTCTCTACTTTTCTCACTGCGGTATATTTATCCAAGGAGTACCTTGCATATTTCCCCCCATCTCTCCAAGCAGTAAATTTATTCTAATTGCAAAGAGATACAGTAAAAGCCTGATTGAATACTTGGCAGTTTATAGAGATTTATTTCGGGAGCTTAAGGGGGTTTTTAGACTGTATGACTAGAGCAGGGTTGAGGGGAGCTGGGGAAAGGAGCCCAAGAGAAAATGTAGATTTAATGGATCTATAAAATGACCCTGCTGTAGATAAACGTTTGTTCCAAAGAAGTTTAAACAGCCTGACCCAAACCAGGGTCTGTGACAGCCAGTCCAACATGAGGTGTCTGTAGCATTGCACATTTCTCCTCGGGTTTTCAGGTTTCCATATGAAATTTGTTATTCTTCAGGCAGAGATGAGGTGGAGGGGAGTAGAATCTGTTTTCCAGAGGGAAGAAAGCATATTGAACCACATATTTCTTAGTACTAAAAGCTATGAAAAGAGGCAAAAGTAAACCTCCAGCACCTGCCCTTAAAATCACTCCGCCTTTTCTCTAACTCCCTTGAAGTTGAATTCTGAATTTTAAGCCTAGGATCTTGGAAGGCAGATCGTGAGAGTGAGAGCCTGCTCTTTATACCAGGAATTTTGAACAACAATGGGGAGACTTGCAAAGTCCACTTATCCCAGGCACTTCCAGCTGATAATGAGACAGAAGGACACTCTATCCCCTAACAGGGCCTTCTGCTAAGAATAGGCTTTGCACGTACACACTACTGAACCTTTCCCCGAAAACCTTCTAGGCTTTTCATCCCATGAGTGACATTCATCTTTCTTGCAGCTGCCTTGCAAGTTCTTCTGAGGATGAATTTTAGGCTTTCAACTGTTAAATTGGTTGTATTGTAAATCTAATCACCATACTAAAATGAAGACATTTGTTCTGGAGGGAAAGGCAACACAGAAAAGGGTTTTAAGTGTTCACTCTTGGGGAGGAAGAAGGAATGCACAGGCCTCTTTGGGCAGAGGCTGCCTGAGGGTCAGCAGTCTGTGGGCTTCCCTGCGCTTTTGCTTTCTTCAGGAATTGACAGAAGGAGACCTTGGGGGGAAATTTTAAACTCATTTGATTGTGAGATATAACCCTCATACACAAAAATGCAGTTTAACAAGTTGTTATAAAGTTAACCCCCATGTCAAGAAGTGTAATATGGCTAACCCTCCCTCAAAGCTTCTGCCATGCTCCTGGAGATAACCATTATCGTGGCTTTTACGAGAATCACATTTCTGCTTCTGAAAACAATAATTTAGCACCAAAGTTTGCATCTAGATAGAATCTGGCTTTGAGATTTATATAAATGGGAGGAATGCATTGTTCTTCCATGTCTGGCTTCTTTTGCTCAACCTTGCGTTTGTGAGAACCATCCACCTTGCATGTAATTGCAATTTAGATTCATTGCAGGACAGTATTTTTTTTATTTGTCCATGTACTGTTGATGGACATTAAAAATATTTCTAGCTTGGGGATGTTACTAATAAGCCTGCTGGGAACACTCTTGTGCATGTATGCTGATGCACATGAACATTTGCTCACCCTCCCTGGTTGAGACCAAACAGTTCTATTAGAACACAGTTTGGGCTGGATGCAGTGGCTCACGCCTGTAATCCCAGCACTTTGGGAGGCCAAGACGGGCAGATCAGTTGAGGTCAGGAGTTCGAGACCACCCTGGCCAACATGGTGAAACCTCGTTTCTACTAAAACTACAAAAATTAGCCGGGTGTGGTGGTGTGCGCCTGTAATCCCAGCTACTCAGGAGGCTGAGGCTGGAGAATCCCTTGAACTCGGGAGGCGGAGGTTGCAGTGAGCCGAGATCATGCCACTGAACTCCAGTGAGTGCCACTGCACTCACTCTGGGCAACAGAGCGAGACTCCATCGCAAAAAAAAAACAAAAACAAAAACAAACAAAAAAAAAACCAACCTTGACACAAGGATGTGGGTATAGGAAATCTGTTTGGGAGGTGGTCCCAGGAAGCAGAAAGTAGAAAGAGAAAAAGACAAAACCAGTAAAGGGTGCATTAACAAGCAGGTACAGCTTTGGGAAATGATGGCTTAATCCCTCTTGAGACCCTCTGAGAAGGCATGTGGGGCACACCTCAGAATTTTCCCACCAGGGAACAGAAAGACTGGGGCATTGGCCGGGCGCAGTGACTCACGCCTGTAATCCCAGCACTTTGGGAGGCCGAGGCGGGCGGATCACGAGGTCAGGAGATAGAGACCATCCTGGCTAACACAGTGAAACCCCGTCTCTACTAAAAATACAAAAAATTAGCCGGGCGCGGTGGCGGGCGCCTGTAGTCCCAGCTACTCAGGAGGCTGAGGCAGGAGAATGGCGTGAGCCCGGGAGGCGGAGCTTGCAGTGAGCCGAGATTGTGTCACTGCACTCCAGCCTGGGCAACAGAGCGAGACTCTGTCTCAAAAAAAAAAAAAAAGAAAGAAAGAAACACTGGGGCATTTATCCAGTGACGCCCATCCCCCACTGGTTGTGGCTGCAGCCCAGCACGTTCCCCTGGCCAAGGAGAAAGCTCACAAAGAAGCAGAGCTATGCGGATGCTTGGGCGGGGATTCTCCAGCCTGTAGGAAAGGGTCTGCCACTATTGCCGCTGAACACCAAGATGGACCAGAGAATCTGCGCAGGACAGCAACAATGCCTGCTGTGGTAACCCTGAGCCAAAGCAAAGCCCATGTTATGGGGTGGCAGGAACCAAGAGCCCTGCCGAGAAGGCTGACCTGCCAAAAGGAAAATGAGGTAGAGAAGCACGAGAAGCAAGACAGACAACGCAGTCACAGAGAGCAGAGCCTGGCCGTCACACCCACTGTCTCCAGCAGCCGCCCACAGGAGCCCACCCGGCACAGTCACCAGATGTGACCCAGGACTTGTATTCCGGCAATGACTCTTCCATTTTCCTCCCATAATTATTTCCAGCTCTTGCTCATACAATTGTTGGTCAGTCTTTCTGAGCTGCACTGACCTGTATGAAGTGCTGTGGATATCAAAGGACTCCCACCTACCCCTATTTGCTTCCTGAGTTAGACCCTCTGCTTCTTCCTCTGATGCCTTGGAGGACCCAGAACTTCTCAAAAAAACTGCATGCTATTGTGAGCCGAGATCGCGCCACTGAAATCCAGCCTGGGTGACAAAGCGAGACTCCGTCTCAAAACAAAACAAAACAAAACAAAACAAAAGAAAACACAGAACTGCATGCTATCAGTAACATCCAGCATAACACTATCCCTTTTACTTCTTTGCAATAGGTCCAGTATTATCGTCCGTATCCCTTAGTCAGTTAGTCTGGGTCAAAACTGTTTGCCGGGACACCAAAGTGATGGCACAAAGGGAGGCCAGGGAAGAAAGGGAGGCCAGAAAAGAAGGGGAGGCCAGAGCAGAGTAAACACAAACCACATGGGACACATTCAATTCCCATGCTGTAGTATCAGCTCATTGGCTGGAGGCAGTGGCAGTCCTGTTTCTTAATGGTTCCGTAAGCCATGTGGGACACATTCAATTTCCATGGTGGAGCTCAGCTTATTGGCTGGAGGCAGTGGCAGACCTGTGCCTTAATGCTCACTGGCTGAGAACAGGATCATCCCTTTGCTCTAACTCTCACTGGCTGAGAACAAATGATGACGCTCAGAAGCTGGGGAAAACCTGTATGGACATATAGAGGATTTTTATTTTGAAAAATATTTCAGATACGAATGATGTTGTAATGAATTGGGATTGAGGTTAATATTGAATACTAAAAGTGTTTCTTGCCAGGCAAGGTGGCTCATGCCTATAATCCCAGCACTTTGGGATGCTGGGGTTGGAGGACTGCTTGAGGCCAGGAGTTCGAGGCTGCAGCGGCTATGACTGTGCCACTGCACTCCAGGGTTGGCCACAGTGTGAGATCTTGGTCTAAAAAAAAACAAACAAAAAATGTGTTTATTTTAAAAGTATCCCCTTTACTTAAATTAGCTTAAGAGACTTTCTGTTCCTTTGCCACCAAACAATCTTTTGCAAATAGTATGCCACCTGTACTAGTCAGGGTTCTTCAAAGAAACAGAACCAACAAGATGCTTATGTGTGTGTGTGTGTGTGTGTGTGTGTGTGTCGCAGGGGGCAGGGTTGTGTACATGTTTATATGTGTATATATACATGTGAGAAGAGAGATTTTAAGCAATTGGGTCACATAATTGTGGAGGCCATTAACTCCAAAATTTGCACTGCAGACTGCTGGCTGGAGACCTAGGGAAAAGGTGCAGTTTGAGTTCAAAGGCAGTCTGCTGGCAGAATTCTTTCTTCCTCGGGGGAGGTCGGCCTTTATTTATTTATTTTTTTTTTAAAGCTGATTGGATGAAGTCCACTCACATTATGGAAGGTCATCTGCTTTACTCAAAGTCTGCTAATTTAAGCGTTAGTATCTCCTCAAAAAATACCTTCACAGGGCTGGGCACAGTGACTCATGCCTGTAATCCCAACACTTTGGGAGGCCAAGGCAGGTAGATCATGAGGTCAGGAGATTGAGACCATCCTGGCTAACACGGTGAAACCCCATCTCTACTAAAAATACAAAAAATTAGCCAGGCATGGTGGTGGGCACCTGTAGTCCCAGCTACTTGAGAGGCTGAGGCAGGAGGATGGCGTGAACCCGGGAGGTAGAGGTTGCAGTGAGCCGAGATCGTGCCACTGCACTCCAGCCTGGGCGACAGAGCAAGACTCCGTCTCAAAAACAAAAACAAAAACAAAAACAAAAACAAAAACAAAACATCTTCACAGAAACTTCTAGAATAATGTTTGACCACATTTCTGGGTACTGTGGCCTGGCCAATTTGACATCATTTTATTGACCCCAAAATTAGCCATCACATGACCCATCTCTGATCCCTAGCAGTGATTGCCTTGAGGGCTATATTGCAAAGGATTCTGAAGCCACATCCAGATTCAACAGGAAAGAACACCCTTATAAACTAGTAATGTCTGCTCTGAGCACAAAAACGAGCAGCAACCTGTGCCACATATTTGCTATTCTTGTAATAGAAGTTTGGTTTGTGTTTATTGGATGAATGAAAAAGTGACAAATCTTGCCAATTTTGCCATTAAACTACCCTTGATTTAAACTGTGTTCTTTCTTTTTTTTTTCCTTTCTCTTTTTTTTTTTCTGAGACAGAGTCTTGCTTTGTTGTCCAGGCTGGAGTGCAGAGGCACAATCTCGGCTCACTGCAACCTCTGCCTCCCGAGTTCAAGCGATTCTCCAGTCTCAGCCTCCTGAGTAGCTGGGATTACAGGCACGCACCACCACGCCTGGCTAATTTTTGTAGTTTTAGTAGAAACGGGGTTTCACCATGTTGGCCAGGGTGGTCTCAAACTCCTGACCTCAACTGATCTGCCCGTCTTGGCCTCCCAAAGTGCTGGGATTACAGGCGTGAGCCACTGCATCCAGCCCAAACTGTG